>NC_000001.11:235729576-235881091 GCF_000001405.40 Homo sapiens | reverse complement strand
CCAGCCCTGCCCTGTATATCACGTACAGCAAGTCACTTAATTTCCTAGGCTGATTCTCCTGCTTCAGCCTCCTGAGTAGCTGGGATTACATGCACCCTCCACCACGCCCGGCTAATTTTTTTATTTTTTGTAGAGATGGGGTTTCACCATGTTGGTTAGGCTGGTCTTGAACTCCGGACCTCTGGCGATCCACCCACCTCAGCCTCCCAAAGTGCTGGGATTACAGGTGTGAGCCACCGTGCCCGGCCGCTAAATGGAATTCTTTAAAGGAAAAAATGCAGCAATACTTGTTCTTCCCATTTGCGTAAGAAAAATCTTTGAAGATGAAGTAGAATCCTAGGGACATTTAAGGGTGACAAGATAGGTTCTGGTGGGATTTTAAAACATCACAATTGAGGAGACAGTTTTCCATAAATAAGGAATAGGCACAGAGAAGGAAAGCCCTGAACCAAGAATAGAAAAAATACTCTTGGTAAAAACAGACAGTAAGTCCTACATGGTATGTATACATTCCATCTAGGCAGTATCAGTTATAGCATTAGAATAAATACCCTAACCCACTTCCCATGGTTCTTTCTGGTTTGCTGTACATATTAGGTGTGGCAAAGATGTGTTTAGTCACTGTTATGACGGTGTCAAATGATGACACTTTTACCGAGTAATAAATCAACACAGGATCCTTGACTTAGAATAACTGACCAATCAACTTACTTGTACATCTTACAACCTCCATTCTTACCATGCATGTTTTCAGAATGTCTATGCTATTGATTCTCCACAAGGGAAGGCAGTATAAGGCAAGCCTGCTGAGTTTTTTTCACATATATTGCTAAACTAATATTGAGTGAGATATAGTCTTCCTTCTTCTCTGAAATTGAGGAAGTGGTCAATACAAAAAGAAACATGTTTGAGACAATTATAGAATTCAGATGACCTAACCAATGACTTGTAAATACAAGACATAAAAGGTACAGTGCTATGCATGTAGTTGCTGATAACTCTAAGAAAAAACGAGACAAGAGTTCACTCTTCTGAGAAACTTAGATCCATTCTCAGTCTGGGCATGGTGGCTCACACCTGTAATCCCAGCACTTTGGGAGGCTGAGGTGGGCAGATCACCTGAGGTCAGGAGTTCGAGATCACCCTGGCTAACATGGTGAAACCCCGTCTCTACTAAAAATACAGAAATTAGCTGGGCGTGGTGGCGCATGCCCATAATCCCAGCTACTTGGGAGGCTAAGGCAGGAGAATGACTTGAAACCGGGAGGCAGAGGTTGCAGTGAGCCAAAATTGTGCCACTGCACTCCAGCCTGGGCGACAGAGCGAGACTCCGTCTCAAAAAAAAAAAAAAGAAAGAAAGAAAGGAAGTTAGATCCATTCTCAGAGCTTTCAGTTTATAGTTCCATATTTCTCTGTTTTAGAATGCTCAGAAACAGCCTGAAAAGCTGAAAGGGAGTTAGTATGTAATAAAAGTGGCATTTCTAATTAGAGGGGAAAAGATGAGTATAATGAATGGTGTTAAAGGAACAGACTATGTATCTGGAGTAAAATATTTTTCCCTGTTCTCTTTCCCTTCAAACAGTGTCCTCCACACATGTTGTCAGGTGTCTGGTTAGACAGCCAGTTAACACAGGTAGCACCTGGGGTGCCACTCAGCAGTTCTTGAGGTGAATATTGTTAGCAGGCGACCATTCCCGCCATATGCTCCCTGCTTTTGCAAAACCAGTCCCCAGTGGCCAAAGATTTGTCTTGCTTTCAGACATCTATTATATGCCTGCCTTCAACTGGTCAGAATTCACACCCATACCTGCAAATGTATTCTCCCCAGTGACAAATGCTCTAATATTATTTCTGTGTATTAACAGTCAGCCACAAGTGGGTAGGATACTCACCTCATAGTTGTCTTCAATGTGTGAAGAATGGCTGGTAGTGGTGGTTCACACCTGTAATCCCAGTGCTTTGGGAGGCTGAGGTGGGAGGATTGCTTGAGCCCAGGGGTTTGAGGTTACAGTGAGCTATGATTGCACACAGAACTCCAGACAGGGCTATAGAACAAGATCCTGTCTCTTAAAAAATGTGTTACCTGTTGGGTACAATGTTCACTATTCAGGTGATGGGTACTCTAACAGCCCAGACCTCACCACTACTCAATATATCCATGTAATACAATTGCACTTGCACCCCTAAATCTGTAAAAAAAAAATTTAAATACTAATGTGCAAAGAACTGTGTTCATTAGATTGCCTGAGCCCAGCATGGTGGGTGGCAAGCATGGGTTAAAAGCCAGGTTTCCAACAATTAGCAAAGGCACAGCTGCCAGTAAATATGGTGTTGTCTGTATCCCATCAGGAAACCCTTGCTCTCCTATTAGACCTAATTATCAGTCAGCAGCTGAGTTCCAAAAATGGTGCTATGGGTTTGGCAGGAAACAAGTCAGGAGAGGTTATCCTGCTGGGTGAGAGGTCCTGTGATGGTGCTTTACAATACATTTCCTGGTCAGCTATTACTGTGATTTGGTGACCTCAAAATCTTGGCTGGTGCTTTTAGGTCTGGAGGAGGAACTTGGGCAGTAGGAACCACAATGGCGGAAGCAGGGCGGCCGTCATTATTTTTACTTCAGGTTGCTAGTATCTGACTATTAGGGAACATGTGTCCAAGGGGGTGGAATCAGGGAGAGTGGGATAGAAGGGAGAGTATCTTCTTGAAATCACATAGAATTCAGGAGAAGCTGAGTTCAATGGCAGCTTGCACACTGGTCACAGAGTCCACCCGCAGAGCCAGAGTTGCTCTGCCACAAGCCACTCCCTCATCACTCAGGGTGGGAATGCAACTTGCCAAGACTGCCTCCTGGCCTGGAGTCCCCCTCCAGCTGAAGGCCGAGCTCACCTGCTCCAGGGATGTTGCCTTGGGGCTCTGCTGATTAAGCTACCCTACCTTGCCAACACGTGTGAAGTGACAGGATGATTTTTAAAACTATAAAGATCCAGAAGATTACATTATTAAGTGGGCCCAGACATGTTTAAATGCATTGCATATTTGAGGCCCTTTCCAATTCAAAGGTGCTTTGATACATCTTATCTGAGTCAACTGTCTTCCTCAGTTAGATTTCTAGAATCTAGTAACACCCTGTTGCCCTGTCTTCTTGATATTATATTTCAGTGATTGGTTTGCCAACCTAATGTCTGCATTTGCTCCAATATCAATGTGTGTTTTAGATTTTTTTTTTTTTTTTTTTTGGTGGCAGATATTGTCAGATACTTCCGAATAGATCATACATTTTATTTCCCATAAGATGACCCACCTGGGCTACATCTACACTGCTAAGCGATGCAATTGTCTCAGAACTGTACTCACGGAATAGAAACGTTTAAAAAAGAAAGTTGACCGGCCAGGCGCGGTGGCTCACGCTTGTAATCCTAGCACTTTGGGAGGCCAAGGCGGGTGGATCACCTGAGGTTGGGAGTTCGAGACCAGCCTGACCAACATGGAGAAACCTCATGTCTACTAAAAATACAAAATTAGCCGGATGTGGTGGTGCATGCCTGTAATCCCAGCTACTCGGGAGGCAGAGGCAGGAGAATTGCTTGAACCCGGGAGGCAGAGGTTGCAGTGAGGGAGATCGTGTCATTGCACTCCAGCCTGGGCGACAAGAGCAAAACCCCGTCTCCAAAAACAACAACAACAAAGTTGACCATAAGTGAACTGTTTACAAAATGAATTCTGTGTTCCCATGATTCCTATATTTCCTCCTCTGATGTCAGCACAATCTGGGCAGGGAGAAGGATTTTTCTTCCATCAGAGGCTCCAGCAAACACCTGGTAGAGTGAGTGACCCCTCTCTGTCATGGCTGGTGTGTGGTGCTGGCCCCTCTTGATAGCGGGACAGGGCCAGCCATTCTCTTTTCTCTGGTACAACCACTCGGTTATATGGATAGCATGTCAGTGCTGACTTCAACCAGGGATCCCACAGACATTTTAGGGAAAACAAGCCTTTCTGTTTTAAATCTCAGATGCTTTTGTCCAGGACTGGACATAGAAATATCTAGAAAACAGGTAAGGAGCAAATCTGGATGCCAGACCCTCTGCTGTGCTTACAGTCACCTGTTCCATTCTGCAACCCAACTTTTATTATCAGATAAGCTTTTGTACCTGGGAAGGTCTGAATGAGAGCTCTTCAGTCACTCCTCTGAACCAATGCCTGGGGCTGCCCCACCAGGACCCGTATAACTCGTACCATCTAAATTCTAGTCATAAACATAGCTTAGGCTTAAAGTGGACCATGCTACACTAATATTCAGTTCTGATTCCAAATATATGACAGGACTGTGCCTCTCAAATTAGCTTATGTAGTGAGCTGGGCAAATGATTATGTCATTTTTACAAGTTTAGTTTCTCTTTGCAGAAAACAGAACTTTACTAACAAACAGGATGTCACATCATAGGGCACATAGATGTCAAATATTCCGATCTGCCAGGAACAAAAAATCAGAATTTAAATAAAATCTCCCCAAGTATAATAATAAGCTCTAGCAACTGTCAGCCATGTGGCTACAGATCATAGAGAATTCATTCAACTATTTATATTCTTCTGTGTCATCAGCTTCCTCGTTTATCCAAAAAATTAATTGAGCAACTACTACCTTGGTTACTTGGGAACACAAAAAGTCAAAATGCAGTTCCCACAACTTAGTAAACTCAAAGTGTATTTGAGAAGACAAACCATTTTTTTTAAAGAAAATAACAATAGAAATACTGTGGGAAGCAGGAGAGGGAGGGAAAACTATATTGGATTGTGTTTTGTTTTTTTGGCCATGTGGGATGTTCTTTCCCTTTTAGCAGATAAAAAAGAAAATGTATTTTCTTTTTTTCTTGAGACAGAGTCCCACTCTGTCACCCAGGATGGAGTGCGGTGACATGATCTCGGCTCACTGCAACCTCTCCCTCCCAGGTTCAAGTGATCCTCTCACCTCAGCCTCCTGAGTAGCTGGGACTATAGGAGCTGCCACCATGCCTGGCTAATTTTTGTATTTTTAGTAGAGATGGGGTTTCACCATGTTGGCCAGGCTGGTCTCAAACTACTGAGTGGTTCTAGTGAACCACCTGCCTCAGCCTCCCAAAGTGCTGGGATTACAAGCACGAGTCACTATGCCCGGCCAAGAAAAAGCATATTTTAATTTAAATCTTAACTCATAAATAAGGAAAGATCATGCCTTTAGTACATTCAATGCAGTTTGTTTGTTTTTGTTTGTCTGTTTGTTTGAAACAGAGTCTCGCTCTGTCACCCAGGCTTGAGTACCATACCTCACTGCAAGCCTCAAACTCCTGGGCTCAAGCCATCCTCCTGCCTCAGGCTTCCAAGTAGCTGGGACCACAGGCGTGTGTCACCATGCCTGGCTAATTTTTTACTTTTGTAGAGATAGGGTCTTGCCATGTTGCCCAGGCTGTAGCACAGTTCTTATGCAGGTGTAGGATGAAGACTAATTTAGACAACCAAGCAGTTGTGTGGGGCAGGACTCCTTCCATCAGCATGATGTAGCTGCCCCCTGGCTTAGGGTAAATTTTTATCCTTTGGTGTCTGGTCCTTATTAAAACAGACTCTCCACCAGCCACTCTGGAGAGTCAGAATATTGTGTTATTATAGTTATGAAATGCTTAATCAGCATCCCTGTAATTGCCACACAATAGCCCCAAGATATTTGTCCCAGGATATTTAACATGTGCTTTGAGGTTTTTCAATAAGTGATTGGACATTTTAAGCAACATGGAACATGCCTTAGTTAAAAATGAAAGGAGGAAATAGGGAATAGTGATCTATGCAGCTACAGTGGGAGCAGAAGTAAAACACAAATCATCTTCCTCCACCCACCTGCCTGCCTTCCCAGCATCATTCTCAGCCTCCCTGAATTGTGGCATTGACTCTTTCACTTTGGAAAAGATCTTCAAACCACCGTGATCTTTCCCACCAGTCTTTATACCCGCTGTTCCCTCTATTCTAGGAATGGAGGGAACAAAATATACTTTAATGTACATATAAATCACCCGGGGATCGTGTTAAAATGCTAAGCCTGACTCAGTAAGTCTGGGGCATGGCCTGAGATTCTGCATTTCTCTCAAGCTCCCAGGTAATGCTGATGCTGCTGGTTGGAGGAGGAGCCTGGGCTTGGAACACCCTTGCTGTCCATCCCAGCTCAGCTGTCAGTTGTTTCTGGACACACGGATTTTATGCACACACATCTATGCACACACACGCCCATACAAATAACAACCATATCAACAACACCAACAAAACAACAAACCCTTTCAGGGACCAATCAAATTTCCAACTCTTTATTGTCAACTGATTGGTCCAGAAAGGCTATTTGAGACATCCAAACTGTTATTTCTGTATCATAAAAGGAAGATTATTTAAATTCTCCAAAAGTAGGAAGGGCTTAGTTTCAGAATAAAGGACAGTCCTTTGGATAAAATTAGCTTTATGAAAAAAATGTTTTCTGCATTACTCTTATTTTAAAAAATTTATCTTAGACTGGAGGTGCTTAAAATATTAGGAAAAACTGGCCTGCTCAAAGCCTGCTGAGTGTTTAAGTCTCAAGTTTAGAGGCTGCTTTCCAAGAAGCTTTTTATGATCCCAGGATGGGAGTTGGGTGTCCCTCCGCGCTGCTCCAGAGAATCCTACGCACAATGTTGCCATAACCTTCATCTCCCTCGACTATAGTTGCTTGTTTACTTGTCTGGAGTCCAAGCAGACCCAGAATGTCTTTCATTCCAAAGCCTTGAACATTGCAAGTATACAGAAAATACCCAATAACTGAATGAAGGTCTGAAATAACAGATCAATCCTGCAATCTTACTACTGTAGTGGATTCTGTGTGTGGGACTAGGTAGAGTTGGAGACATTTTTTTGAAATGGTGCAAAATTGTGGTGTTTATAGAATGGTAAACTGTAAATATTCAGAATCTTTTTATGTAGCACCATTTTTCAAGGAGGCAGCGAAACACACATATATATTTTTACCTGTTCCTTACCTTGACCCTGAGTCACCCTTTTCAACTGTTGCTTTGAAGTGGTCAAGTGTTATTCTATTCTATGCATCTGCTGAGAACTTATATTATTTGTGTTTTTCTATTTCCTTCTGAATGAGAGACCATGAGTTTTAGCGAGTCCTTGTAATTTTTAATCTGCTCAGATAAACTGGGCTCTTGGCTTTATAAACAGGAATGAATAGGAAACCTGTATTTCAAATGATAATGTTTCTTAATTTCCTTGTACTTCTTAGCCTGTCTATTGTGTAGGACAGATTTAGTTTGCTCTTCCAAAATAAACAGCTAGTGTGGTTTCAGGTGAAAGTTAATCAGAAATTTGTAGACCGCAGGAATATATTGGGAATTAAGATAGACAAATACTGGCTGTCAAAATAAGTAATGCCAAGTAAATCACCTGGCTAAGAATTATGCTCAATAATAGACCCAAATCTCTCTTTTTTCAATGATAGTGGTGGTGATAGTAATAATAATGCAATAATAACCACAACTATGTGTGTTTGTGTGTGTGTCTACTAAAACACCTGTGGGCATGTCTGTCAATTACTAATGATTATCTCTAGGGTGAGATCATGGAATACTTCCATTTCCTACGTTGTATATTGTGTATTTGTCTAGTGTTTGAGTTTATTACTATAGCATATGTTTTCTGTTGTAAGCAGAAAAACAGGACAGAATTGTTAAATGGAAAAAAAAACTTGTATGAGAATTAATGACACTGTTGCCCACAAGTACAGTCTTTTCTATATATGAAAGTAGAACACTATGACACGTTCAGCCTGAGGTTTCCACAGGAGAGGGGAAATTTCAGTTGTTTTTAACACTTTTAGTTGGTTGGAAAGGTCATCTCAAGGAAATAGTTTCTGATGTTTATGTCAGGACTCAACACAATACCCCAAAGTTTGGTGCCTTGGCATGCTGAGTGCTTTGAACAAACTGCAGGAAACCAAGAGAGCCTCAGAAGCAAGATCTGTTTCACCTTCTCTCACCCTCCTTTCTCCTGCTTCTCTTTCTCCTTCAAGATAGGCCGTGGAAACTCTAAGGCAAGCCATAGAAAGTAGAACTCCTCCACCACAAAGCAAGTCATAAACCTGGAAATATTATTCTTTTTCTTCCCAACTTTCTTTTTGCTTTTTGAGACAGAGTCTCACTCTGTCACCCAGGCTGGAGTGCGATGGTGGGATCTCGGCTTACTGCAACCTCCACCTCCCAGGTTCAAGCGATTCTCCTGCCTAAGCCTCCTGAGTAGCTGGGACTACAGGCATGCACCACCACACCCGGCTAATTTTTTGTATTTTTAGTAGAGATGGGGTTTCACCATGTTGGCCAGGCTGGTCTCGAACTCCTGAACTCAAGTGAACTGCCCACCTCTCAAAGAGCTGGGATTACAGGTATGAGCCACTCTTTCTGCCCAACTTTCTGAATAGAAGCTGGCCATAAAAAAATTCTCTGACCTCCCCTGTTGGATGATTCTAGGTCATAAGACCTTCATTCCAGAGGCATCCTGCCCTGTATCCGGGAAGAAGGAATGCTGCACACAGATGCCAAGAAGAATCGGAACAGACAGGCATTGCTGGATCCCCCCTCGGTCTATTACCACGAGATCAAACTCTTTTGTCCAATCACATGTCTACAGTGCTGTCCATTCTTCATTGAATCTAAGCAGAAAAATGGGCAGTTTTCCCTGGGTCTTCCGGTCTTCATTTCTGAAGTCTTCCATGTTACATAAAACTTTTTTTTTTTTTTTTTTTTTTTTGAGACAGAATGTCACTCCGTTGCCTGGGCTGGAGTGCAGTGGTGCGATCTTGGCTCACTGCAATCTCCGTCTCCCAGGTTCAAGCAATTCTCCTGCTTCAGCCTCCTGAGTAGCTGAGACTACATGCATGTGCCACTATGCCTGGCTAGTTTTTGTATTTTTAGTAGAGACTGGGTTTCGCCACATTGGCCAGGCTGGTCACGAACTCCTGACTTCCGGTGATCCACCCGCCTCAGCCTCCCAAAGTGCTGGGATTACAGGTGTGAACCACTGTGCTTGGCCCCATGTTACGTAAAACTCTGATTAAATAAATTTGTATATTTTTTCCTGTTAATCTGTCTTTGTTTTATTTCAGAGCCAGCCAGGAACCCTGGGAGGGTTGAGGAAACATTTCCTCCCCGACATGTAGAAATCTTTTAATGCAAGGACGTGAGAGTTTTTGAGTAAAGTATAGATACTGTCACCGGAAAAGGGATCTTGTCCCAGACCCTGAGAGCAGATTCTTGGATCTTGCACAGGAAAGAATTCAGGGCGAGCTGCAGAGTATAGTGAAGTTAAGATAGTTTATTAGAGACTACTCAATTACAGAGTAGGGTGTCCTTAGAAAGCAAAAGGAAGAACTCACTACCTTAAACATAGTGCTTGCTTCTATAGGTTGTTAAGAATAGTGTACTTTATTACAAAGACTTGTGATCAGCTTGTGACATGCTATTAGTATTGTTATTTTCCTATGTTACTATTGATTTCAGCAAGAATTAATGAGTATATTATATGATCTTTAAAGCAAAACCTAGTCTTAAACTAAGAATGCTTTTTGTTCTTAAAGTACTAGGACATTTCCATAAATTCTGGGTCTTTAATTAGTTATTAGCATCATTAACTCATTCCCTCAACCATAAATGTCTTGTGACCAACAGTGCCCAACCCCTCGGGAATGTAACACAGCAGGTTTGCTTTTATCCGGCCTTTATTCAAGATGGAATCGCTCTAGTTAGGACGCCTCTGACAATACTTTTGGGGATTTCAAATGCTATTGGTGATTTAGTAGAGAAAATTACATGAAAGAATCATACTAAAACCAAATCTGATAACTTTTGCAAAATGAAATGGATGTTGGTAACAACTTAATGAAGACATTAATTATGAATTGACCTCTTCAATAAAGTTTCAAGGTGGCTACCAAGACGCACAATTGTAAAAGATGTATATGCATCCTAATAAGGTAAAGCACTTCAAAATTAAAGTGACACTCAAAATTAAATTGATGCAGGTCTTTAGTCAAATGCATAATTTTATTCATCTGTATAATTCTGACCTTCTTACTATTGCTGAAATCGCAGTCTTGTATTCCTCTACCACTTCACAAATCCATTTCTGTTCCCATGCATTGCAGTAGGCATTAAGATTGTCCAGCTCCAAAATTATGGTCAACTTACTGTTTGGATATTTATTTGAATTTTCAACAAAATTTTCTTAATTTAACTATTTATCCAAATATTTACTGAGTGCCTACTAAGTGCCAGGCACTGTTCTGGTCCTTGGGATACATCAGAAATAGAACAAAGATTGTGGCCCTTGTGGAGCCCATAGTCTAAACAGGGGTGACAATGAAAATAAACATAAGAAATAGACAAATTATGTAGTATGTTAGAAGCTGATGGGTGCTATGAAAGAGATGATGTTTAGAGTTACAGGTTACACTGTGATAAAAGAAACACTTCAGCCAAATTAAATTTAAAGTTTAATTGAGCACAAAACAATTCGTGAATCAGGCAGCCTTCTGAGCCAAGGTAGGCTCAGAGACTCCCGCGCAGCCACACGGTGGGAGATTTATGGACAGCAAAAGGAAAGTGACATACAGAAAATGGAAGTGAGGTACAGAAACAACTGGGTTGGTTGCAGCTCAGCGTTTGCTTTATTAGAACACAGTTCAAACAGTTGGCTACATTTGATTGGCCAAAACTCAGGGATTGACACAGGTGTGGGCTATGGCCTGTTTACACCTTCATTTGTTATAGCTCATGATGTACAGAAAAACCTTTAGGCTGAACTTAAAATATGCAAGGAGGCAGCTTTAGGCTAAACTTGATTTAACAACTGTGTCAACTCTCACCAATGCCACCCACCTCCCCACACCCCCCAAGAAGGGACAGAGAACATACATGTTTTTTAATACTATTGTTTTAGGGAACATTTGTGAGATGAGGTCCATTCATGTGTGGGGTCCAGGGCAGAGGCCCCTCTTGCCTAGTTTAAGGGCAGTATTAAGGGTAGACCTCATTGAGAGGTGAAATTTGAGCAAAGACGTGGAGGAGATAAAGGAGTTAACAACTGCAGCCATGTGGAGAAAACAAATTTCAAGCAGAGGGGCCGGCCAGTCAGTGCAAAGCCCTTAAAGCAGGACTGTATCTGGCATGTTTGGTAAACAGTAAAGAAGCAGGTATGTAGGTAGTGATGGGAGAGTAGAAAGAGACGAAGTTTTGAGGAGCCAGATGGTGTTAGAGCTCTGTAGGCCAATTGTAAGGACTTTGGCTTTTATCTGAGAGAAGCGGAGAGCCAATGCAGATTTTTGAGCAGAGATGTGACATGATTTGATTTATATATCCATTTAGTCACAAATAATTTTTAAAGGTGTTTTGGAGAATAATTAAATGTGAAATTATGCACATTTACGTTGACTGTGTTGTTTTAAGCTGGGATGTTACAATCTCATTGAAGATTATAATTCTGGAGTCAAATTAGCTGAAGACTTTCCTGCTTAAAAAGTTTTCCAGCATGTGATACATGCGTAAGTAGAGCTTTTTTAATTATTATTTTTTTTTTTGAGACGGAGTCTCGCTCTTTCACCCGGGCCAGACTGTAGTGGCGCTATCTCAGCTCACTGCAAGCTCCGCCTCCCGGGTTCACGCTATTCTCCTGCCTCAGCCTCTCGATTAGCTGAGACTACAGGCGTCCGCCACCGCGCCCGGCTAATTTTTTGTATTTTTAGTAGAGACGGGGTTTCACCGTGTTAGCCAGGATGGTCTCCATCTCCTGACCTCGTGATCTGCCCGCCTCGGCCTCCCAAAGTGCTGGGATTACAGGCGTGAGCCACTGCGCCCGGCCAAGTAGAGCTTTCTTCTATATACCTATTACTTTACTTTTTTCTTCTTTTTCATGTTCTTCACTACACATTTTGTGTGTGTTCCTAGGAAATCTTTTAAACTAAGTTTTATTTGATATGTATATTTAGTATCGATGTTCTAAGATACTATTGAATAAAATACATACTGCAGTAGCTTAGTTAAAATACTGGAACCGAGGCCAGGAGCGGTGTCTCATGCCTGTAATCCCAGCACTTTGGGAGGTAGAGGTGGGTGGATCACCTGAGGTCAGGAGTTCGAGACCAGCCTGACCAACATGATGAAACTCTGTCTCTACTAAAAATACAAAATTAGCCGGGCATGGTAGCACATTCCTGTAATCCCAGCTACTTGGGAGGCTGAGGCAGGAGAATCACTTGAACCCGGGAGGCGGAGGTTGCAGTGAGCCGAGACTGTGCCACTGCACTCCAGTCAGGGAAAAAGAGTGAAGCTGCATCTTGAAAATAAAATAAAATAAAAAACACTGGTACCGAAAAAAATAATAGTCACAAATGGCATTACTTTGTGCCTTTTACAAACAAATAATACTTTGAGGGCCAATTGTATACCATTATCATCTAAAGTCTGTCTCATTTTCTTTGCTTTAATGAAATCATGATAATCTATTATTTTCTACTCAAGGTTAACAGAAACTGGCTTGTTACTTAATATTTCTTTGACTTCTTTTGTCCATTAAAAAAGGGGGGTGTTTTTAAGATTAGTGGGTGAAAGTTGATGTATAAATAAGAGTAGACACAGCTTTAGGTAAAATGACGAAACAGGTTAAGTTTGGCTTCCTCTTTTTGTTTCAGTTCAGGCCCATGCACCTAGCACAATACTTAGCGCATTGTAGGTGCTCATTATATACTGCTTAAATGAGTGATAAGTTCCCTGAGACATTTATTTCCTGCACTTGTTAGGGTTCAGTGAGCCGATATCCGGCCACTGCCCTCCAGCCTGGGCGACAGAGCGAGAATCTGTCTCAAAAAAAAAAAGATAAAAAATAAAAATAAAAGACTACCTGCCAGAGGAAGTGGGCAATCTTCGCCTAAAGATATGAACTGCTAATGGTTAAACATCAGACGTCAGAGAAGACATATTTTAAAGTGGGGAATTTTCCCCAAGAGCACCCTCTAAACCACATCAGTGGGCAACTTAACGCACTTTGCTTGTCATTGGGTTAGATGGGAGTTTGAGGAATTGGGAGTAACATTTGGTATATAGGCTTGGGACATAATATCCTGAATTATTTCTATTTCATAATTCCTGTGCAAAAAATTATGGGAGTTGTTGATTCTACAGCAATTCCTGTCAATTTGTAGATTATCTGCTTATTAATAGTTTGTATTGTTTGGCAGAACTTGAAAACTACCGAACGATTACAGTTCAGGCTTTTTCCCAGTACCTCTGGCGTTGCTGTCTCAGTGACTAGGAGGTGAGGAGGGTGGCCCTTGAAATGCCAAACTGCCTACCGCAGCAGTCTGCCAGCAGCGTGCTGGGCCCAGAGCCGGGGATGCAGCCAAAACATCCTGGATTTTACCTACAGCTCCCACCCTCTGGAGGGACTGGTCTATTAGGGCATATGACACTGACAGTGCGCACTGTATACAAACCGTGTTTGAACAGGAGTCGGTTGGAAAATACACCACTGCACTGAATTACTTCTGCAGTGGCTTTGCAAAGCTCTTTTTGTTTCTTGAAAGAAGCCGACGGTAACCATTACAATATGGCTTTTTCCAGGTCCCAGAGGAAGGCTAGGGGTGCCTTGTGGGTAACCCTTTCTCCCTCTCCTGACTCCTTCCCGTTATTTCTTCTATCTTCATCCTCTAGACCTACACAATGGGACAGGTTGACAGTCTGTGTTGAATGGAAGAGGCGGACGATGCGCTTGTGTTTGGTGCTTCTCAAACGGTGCTCGCACTCCCCAGGGTCTGACGCAGCCCACTACGCAGAGCCCTGGGAGGAGGTGCGGACCCAGGGTACGACCCCCGACCGCTGAGAAACCCAGACCGGGCCCCGGCTGCAGCCCCGCGGGTCGGCCCGCCCCCCTGCCTTCCCTATTGGCTCGGCAGTTCCACGCGTCACGCCTGCGACGCCGGCGCTGCCCTCCCAGAGGAGGCGGGGCTTACACGCGCGAGGCGGAGCCAAGGGCGCACGCGCAGACGAGCGGGTCTGGGTCCGGACGAGGGGAGGGAGGGGGTGGTGTTCTCGGTTTCCTGGGTTACCTGGGCGGGCGGGGGTGGGGAGTGCGCGGCGGCGGCGGCAGCGGCGTCGGCTCGGGGTTCTCCGGGAGAGGGGGAGTGCGCGGCGGCCGCAGCTGCCACAAACCAGGTAAAGGCGGCCGCCGGGCGCCGACGCTGCCGGCAGAAGGTTCCGGGTCCCGGCCCCTCTGCGTGGCCTGGAGGGGAGGCGGTTTGGGGCTGGTGGCTGTCAGCCTGGGTTGAGGGCCGGGACCGCCGGGCTGAGGGCGCGAGGGCGCGAGGGCACTCGGCCTGACGCGCCAGCTCGGGGCGTCCTCTCTGGCTTCTGGGCTCTGGGACTTCTCGCGGCGCCGGGCCGCCTTTGACAGCCGCCGGGCCGCGGGCGGGAGCTCGGCTGGGCCCCTCTGGGCCATTGCAGCGGCCACTGGGCACTAACTTTATTTCGCAGCGCGCGGGGGGCGAGGTCGAGCAGGCTGACGGCGGTGTGTTGCTACCTTTATTTTATTTTTTGATCCTGTGCCGCTGCACTACTCAGCCCAGCTGGGCCCAAGCTGTCAGGTTGACGATGGGAGTTGACGGTTTCCGCGCCACCACCCAGCCGGTCACTCCCCGCGCTGTTGCCCTGCGGCGCTCGCCCACCTGTCACCTACACCGTGCGCCTCGGTCCGCTCTTTCCTCCTGTCCGTGACACCCTTTGACTGGGCGAGAGCCTCTCTTTCCAGGGGATCCCCTGAGACATCTGCCGTCTGTCTCCGGTATCACTGGAGCCTGACTGAGATGCCCCTTCGCTTCTGATGAGTTAAATAAGCTGGGAAATTACCCGAGAAGACCCCGGTACCACAGTGTAAAGCCCAACGAAGGGGTTGTTTAATGGTCCAGGGGATACAGAGGCTTTAAGAAACGTTTCCTTAACGCTAATTCTTATCTGGTTAAACAAAACATAGCAAAACATCCCCGATCCGCTCGGCAGACCATACACACCCAGCGACGGCACTTGATAGTTAATGGGGTTTGTTTTAAGCAGATAGAAAATTTTAAGGGAGTCGAATCTTGTGTTGAATGCGTTCGTGTTGAATTTGGGCCAGTGTTTCCTTGAAGATCAAATGCAGGTTGCATTTTCCTATTGTTTGTTTAACAGATTGATAGGACAAACTGAATTAGACTTTTCTTCCTGATGATTCTTGGCTCTTCTGCGCTATTATTTTAAAATTCCACGCCTAGATTCATCTATGCTAATAAAGATGTTGACTTTAAGCTTTCAATTTATAGATGTAGTTGATTAATATGGGGTATCTGTTTTAAAGAGCTTTGTTAAGTGGCCAACAACTCTTTTTCTGATAGCTCTTTGCTGTCATCCATATTGTTACTACAAAGATTGGAGAATTTGAAGAAGAGAGGGCATAAGGAAAAATGAATTGCTGTAATTTGCATAAAAATACTTCACAAACTATATAATTATATATATGTATTTAGTAAATATTTATTGAGCACCTACTGCGTGTCAGATACTTTTCTAAGAAAACATAAATATCTGCTCCTTCATGGAGCTTATATTCTAGTGGGGACCTCAGATAATAAACAAATAAAATATGTGCTGTGTCAGATGGTGTTAAGTACTACAGAGAAAAAGCACGGAAGAGGGAGGGCAGGGAAGAGGGAGGGCAGGGAACCGGGAGAGGTTTGCAATTTTAACTAGAGGCAGCCAGGGAAAGCTTCCTAGAAAAGATATCATTTGAGCCAAGACCAGAAGTAAGTGAGGGGTAATCCATGTACCTCTCTGAGGGAAGGATGTGCTAGCAGAGAGGAAGGCAGAAGGGCTTGCAGAAGCCCTGTGTGCTGGGCTTGTTTGAGGACAGCAGAGAGGCTGATTTGGCTGTGGTGGAAAAAGCAAAGAGGAGTAGAAATAAAGTCAAAGAGGTGAGTGTGGTGGGAGATTAGACTGTATAAGGCCTTGTAGGCCCTTTTAAGGACTTGAGTTTCTACTCTCAGTGGAAAGGGGAGTCCACTCTTTGAGTAAAGAACCTTACCTTTTATTTTTAGTTTTGAGTCAGGATCTCACTTTGTCTCCCAGGCTGGAGTGCAGTGGCATGATCACAACCTACTGCAGCCTCGACTTCCCAGGCTCAGGTGATCCTCTCACCTCAGCCTCTGAAGTAATTGGGACTTCAGGCACACATCACCCACCATGCTTGGCTAATTTTTTGTAAAGATGGGGTTTCGCCATTGTTGCCCAGGCTGGTCTCAAACTCCTGGGCTCAAGCGATCCATCCACCTTGGCGTGTCAACATTCTGCGATTGTAGGCGTGAGCCACTGCGCTCGGCCCCAGGCTTGCCTTTTAAAAATGATCATTCTGGGCGCTGGATGGAGAATAGACTTTGTTGTAGGGGAAGGGTTGAGCAGGAGCAGAAGCTGGGATACCAATCCGGAACTGTTGCCCTAATCCAGGCCAGAGATAATGTAGCTTGGACCAGAGTGGAATTGGTGGAGGTGGTGAGAGGTCATTGATTTCAGGATAAATTGAGGGTAGAGATGTAAAAGACACCAAAATTTAGTTCCGAACAAGTAGAAAGATGGGGTACTTGTTTACTGAGATTAGGTTTACGAGAGGAGTAGGTTTGGTGGGGAGAAGGGTGGGAGTTGGTTAGAAGACAATAAAATTAGACATTCACGTTTTTAAAGAAAAAAATATTCAATGATACTTGTTTAAGAATGGTAAGTAAGGCTTTATTCAGAACCATCTCAATAGGTATAGAGACCTCTGCAGTGGGGCCCTGCAGTAGGGGAGGGAGACTGGGCTCAACTCCGAATACAGCATGAGAAAATGGGAATTTATAGCCAAGCAGCAGTGTGGGGATCGTGGATGGAAAATTGCTAAAAGGAAACATCAGGGATAAGGGGGATTCTGGCTAAGCCGACCTAACGGGATTCTTGCTGAAGACAGGCCAGGGCGATCAGACATTACCTGGGGAATGGTGGAGGATGAGGAACCTGATCAGATATTTAGGATGATTAGATATCCAGGATGTTATGCTAAACAGACTTAGCAGGGTTCTTTGCTAATACTGGATTTTACAAGGAAGTGCACAGATGGGCCTCACAGAAAATTCAAAAGCCTGAGTAAGTTTGGCCAAGCAAAGAATTTTTGTCAAAGCTGAGATTATTAGTAGTAAACACAAGTGACTTTGTTTTGAAGACACTTTTTACGTTACCTTGACTATACCAGGGGGTTAAAAATTTCACCCATAAACTGCCAGCTTTGATTTCATGATTATTTTCTTCTTAATTCTTTTGGACCAACCTAGTCATTCTTTTCCCAATTGTAGTTTTATTTTTGTTTGATTGCACTCACATAGTGTGTTTGTTAGCTTCGGTTGTAGAGAGAGCCATATAGTCTGGAATTTCAGAGTACCTTTTTGGTCTGTTGCTGTATTTAACTTGAACACCTTCATCTGATTAATCTTTTCCTGAATTATCTGGTTGCCGGCTTAAGTTCAACATTTTTTTTTTTTTTAGACAGAGTCATTCTCTGGTTTCTCTTCAAATTGTATAAATCTTTCGCCTTTTACTAAAGATTTCCGTGGAGACAGAGTCTCGCTCTGTCACCCAGGCTGGAGTGTAGAGGCGAGATCTTGGTTCACTGCAACCTCCACCTCCCAGGTTCAGCCAATTCTCCTGCCTCAGCCTCCAGAGTAGCTGGGACTACAGGTGTGTGCCACCACACCCGGCTGATTTTTTGTGTTTTTAGCAGAGATGGGGTTTCACTGTGTTAGCCTGGATGATCTCAATCTCCTGACCTCATCATCTGCCCTCCTCGGCCCCCAACTGTGCCTGGATTACAGGCGTGAGCCACCGTGCTGGGCCAAGTTCAAGATTTTTTTTAAGCCCTAAAATGTTATCAAGTGTGGCTTTACTTGGCCATTTGCAAAATTACAAAGGAAATGACTCATTTTTAATACTTTGTAATGTCAAAAGACAAAATTACAACAAATTTAGCTTAAAGATCTTACTTCACCTTTGCCATTGTAGAATCAGGCAACACCTCATTTTATAAAATAGAACAAGTGTTCTCATGAGCCGAGCAGAAGTGGTTGGTTTTATGGTAGTCTCACTTTATCTTGAAGGGGTGTGTGTGTGTGTGTGTGTGTGTGTGTGTGTGTGTGTGTGTTTGTTTGTTTTGAGATGGAGACTTGCTGTGTTGCCCAGGCCAGAGTGCAGTGGGGTGATCTCAGCTTACTGCAAACTCCGGCTCCTAGGTTCAAGCGATTCTCCTGCCTCAGCCTCCTGAGTAGCTGGGACTACAGATGCCTGCCACCATGCCCGGCTAATTTTTGTAATTTTAGTAGACATGGGGTTTCACCGTGTTGCCCAGGCTGGTCTCGAACTGCTGACCTCAAGTGATCTGCCCATCTTGGCCTCCCAAAGTGCTGGGATTACAGGCATGAGCCACCGCACCCGGCCTTGGGGAGATATGTTCTAAGATCCCCAGTGGAAGCCTGAAATGGTGGATAGTACTGAATCCTATATACACTATAGGGCAGGATGAGATTTCATCATGCTACTCAGAACAGGGTGCAATTTGAAATTATGAATTATTTCTGGAATTTTCCATTTAATATTTTCAGACCACAGTTGACCTCAGGTAACTGAAACCTTGGAAAATGAATCTGCGGATAAAGGGATACTACCGTATACACTGAAAAGGGGTGAGGAAAACAGAAACAGAAAAGAAAAAGCAAATTGGTCATTTAAAGTTACTTTTCTTATTAGGGTTAAAGCAGATGGGACTTCCTTATGTCAGTCATATCATATCATATCAACTGGCCTGTTTGGGATTTGACTACTAACTCTGTCTCTCCTGATTGCTTGGAAGGTCAGATAAACAACTTAGTTTTGGCTTGGTGAAGTGGAACTTCAGCATGAGTGACTCCATTTTGATTTGATCTGTTGTCCCTAGTGCAGGAGGAACTCAGTCTAAACCAGTGACCTCCTATAAATTTCATTTAACACTGGTAAGTTAGTAATATGCAGGGATTAGCCTAATTGTTTTGTTTCAGTAAAGATGGCTTGAAATAAATGGGCCATCACATGTTAAATGAAGATCTTCTAAATCAAATTATATAGTATTTGTAGCAATAGAATTTGCCCTGTAAAACTTGGATAAAAAGTCTATCAGTCTCCGAAGCCAGGAGCCATGGCTTGTGCCTATAGTCCCAGTTACTTGGAAGACTGAGGTGGGAGGATCGCTTGAGCCTGGTTCGAGTCCAGCCTGGGCAACACAGCAACACGTCATCTCTAAACAGAACAAACAAACAAAACATATATATGTATATATCAGTCTTCTGGAATTTAAGGTCTACACTTTAAGAACCAGGAAATAAGCTAATTTTTTAAAATGGATTTTCAACCTAAATATATCTTAAAAATGTATAAAAATCTGTCAGATTAATAACTAATTATAAACTGATCTTGGAGTCTTTGAGGGCACTGTATTGTCTTTGATATTATTTTATTTTGCTGCTGTGTGTCACCAGTGTTTGGCTTTGTAACTCTTAATCCCCCAACTTTGTTTACAGTAATGAGAGAGGTCCAATACGTTTGGAAATGTTGAAGGCTTTCCAGGTCTAACTGCTGAAAAACAAAAATCTTACCTAATAACATGAAAGATTAATGCTTAAAATTGATTATCTTAATCAAGAAAGGAATCAAATAATTTTCAAAAGGCTAGTCATTGTTCCATTCAAATATGATTCTTTGAAATTAAAACATAAAATGGATGAGGACATAAGAGAGCTTTTCACTATTTTAACTGAATGGAAGAAATAAATGAACAATAGGGTAGAGTACTACACATATTAGAAATGTTTATAAAACTACTGCCACTCATCTTTAAAAAGCAATGTTTATATAACAGATTACTACTTAGCAATAACAAGGAATGAACTTTAGATCACACAACAACATGGATAAATCTCAAAATAATTACACAGCACGAAAAAAAGCCAGACCAAAAAGAAAAAAAAAGTACATACTGCATTGTTCCATCTGTAAAATTCTAGAAAATGCCTATTAATCTATAATGGAAGAAAGATCAATGCTGGCCTGGAGATAAGTTACAGAGGGAAGGGGCAGGAAAGAGGGAGAACAGTGGCATACTAGGAAACTTCAGGGGATACTAGATATGTTTACTATCTTGATTTGATGATGGTTTCATGGGTGTACACATATGTTGGAACATATCAAATTATGCACTTTAAATATGTGGTTTGTTACATGTCAGTTATACCTGTAAAGTTGTGTTTAAAAGTGGCTTGACCATGAAAAGACATGAAGAAATCTTTAGTGCATATCACTAAGTGAAAAAAGGCAAACTGAAAAGTCTGCATACTTTATGATTACAAGTGTATGGCATTCTGGGAAAGGCAAAACTATGGAGACAGTAAAAAGATTAGTGGTGGAGAGAAGGAGGGATGAATACGCAGAGCACAGAAGATTTTTAGGGCGGTGAAACTATTCTGAAGATACTACAGTGGTAGCTACATGTTATTATACATTTGTCGATACCCATAGAATATACCACATCAAGAGTGAATCCTAATGTAAACTGTGGACTTTGGGTGATAATGACCTGTCAGTGTAGGTTCATTGATTATAACAAATGTACCAGTTTAGGGGGGCTGTCCATAGTTGGGGAGGCTGTACATGTGTGAGAGAGCAGGGTGTACATGGAAACTCTGTAATTGCCTCTCTGTTTTGTTGTGAACCTAAAACTCTTCTAAAAAATAAAGTCTTTTTTTAAAAAAGAGGATAGAAGATTTCTGCCAGAAACCTGAAGAATTGCATATTTTACATTTAAAAATGGGGGGAGAGGAAGGTAAAGTCCAGAAACTATATATTGAAAATCTTGACACTGACTGATTCCTAGAAAAACTATAGACCAGCTTGCCAAGTGCTTAGTGATTTGTAATTAGAAAAGAAAGCACTGATTACTAAGACCCAGAATTTGTTTAAGAACAAGTCATATTAAGCTAACTTCATGCTTACTTTGCCAAAGATGTAATAGTATTTGTATGATACTCTTTGTATAGTACTACTTTATAACTTACAGAGTACATTCCCATTTATTATTTTATTTAACCCTGACAACATCCCTTTCAATTCGTGTAAGATGAGAAAGACCTCAACAGTAATAATCCCAGGAAGGCGCAAAGGGGACAGATGTGAGAGATTTTAGAAAGGCCTTGTGTAGTTATGGATAAAGGAGAGGGAGGAATCAAAGCAGGCTTTAAGGATTCTAGATTGTCTGAGGGTGAATGGGGATGCAGATAATTACTCGTAATTTAAAAAATACGGGTGGAGGAGTGGATTTGGAGATGTGAAATCCATCAGTTTTCTTCAGTTTGGTGGAATTAGCTGTTTTATTTCCTTTGTTGAAACTGAGTCAGATATAGATACATTTAAAAAAAAAAAAAGGCCTGGTGCTCAGGAGAGAAGCCTAAACCCAATAAAACAATTTTCATTTGTTCAGTAAATATATTCTTTCAAATACTTTTGGTAATGAAGGGAGGTTAGTGGGTAGAAGCTTGAGGAAGTAGATGTGATCATTGGGAAGGTTTGTCTGTTTTAAGGATGGAGAAGCCAAGGACACTTCAGTGGATTGAGGGAAAGGGACCATTGAAGAGGAAGAAAATTGAAGTCACAAGAGGTAGAAGATAATTGATCAAATGTAACGAGAGGAAATGGAAGAGTCAGGTCCAGGAGGACAAATGAAAGAGTTACCCTGAAGAAGAGGAATGATGTATCTTCCTGTTTAAAAACGAAAAGGAAATGGGGTAGATATAGATATAAGTTAGTATCCAGGATGACATCTCTTTTTCTCTGTGAAGCAAGATTATCTGCTGAGATTGAGAAGGAAGAACATGGGTTGGAGTATGCTTGAGGGGAAAATAAAAGTTACTATTGAGATTGTAAAAGGGACTTAACTAGGGGCATGTGACTTCTTTGCTGAATCATGATGAATACCCTTCCAGGCTTGAAATCACAAATGTACAGAGGCCAGCAGGATGGTTAAGCAGTGTTCTCCAGCAGCCTGCCTGCTCCCACTCCCCTTCCCTGCCCCCCATAACAATGCAGAAAACAAATAGACTGAACTTGGACCACTCCCCTTCCCCACCCCCATAACAATGCAGAAAACAAGTAGACTGAACCTGGATTGAGATTGGAAGGGAAGATGTGATGGAAAACTTGAGTAGGGGGTAGTGGGAAGTCAAGGAATAGAGAGTGGTAATGAGGCTGCTAATTGAAGGGTTGAGCCATAGGAATCCTGCTTATTAAGGAACAAAGCCAAGCCAAGACAAGGCTGGTAAATGTGGATAATGAAGAGGATGAAGAATCTAAATGAGTCAAGTGCAGGATTAATGGAAATAAAAGAGTACTAGAGATGGAAAAATTGGCACATAGATGTGAGAATTCTCAATTTAAGATTCTGGAGTTAGCAGTTTCAGGTGATGATAAGGGCCAAAGAATGACCAATGATGGGTGGATAGCCAAGATTAATAGTGCTAATTATAACAATATTAATATTAATAAAAACTACTATTCATTGAACACTGTGTAGTAGTCACTATAGTAAATATTTTCCATAGGTTATCATGCTTATGTTTCACATATTAGTATCAACATTTTACAGATGAGGAAACTGGAGCTCAGTGAGATTGAGTAACTTTTCCCAAGACTCACAGCTACGAAGTACCTGAGTCTTTCTGAGTCCTTCTAGCATTGAAGCACTTATGCCTGACTACTAAACCATGCTAGCCTTCTGCAAAGTAGGGGTCATTGAAGAAGAAGGCAAAGAGCATTAAGTCTTGTGTGTTGGAATCAATTGTTCTTATGGATAATGAAGTCCCCAGAATATATAGCTTCTGTGTGGAAAGGAAGATAGTCATACGACAAAATTCTCAGTAAATGGAGATGGCTGACTCAAAGGTCAGTAGGTGACAACTATAAATATAGCTATAATGTAATCTTAAAAGTGGATAAAATCGAATAACAATGACTTACAAGTCATCTTGGGAAACTAGGAGAATACTGACTTGTCTTCCTGGCCCCCAAAGTGATGCATATGAAAATATTAACCATTCATTTCTTAACCCTCTCTTCTCTCTTGGCTTGTGAAATTTTATATATATATGTGTGTGTGTGTGTGTGTGTGTGTGTGTGTGTGTGTGTGTGTATTTACATATGTTTGTGTATATATACGTGTGTGTGTGTATATATATACACCTGTGTGCACACGCGCACACACACCCACAGACACACCCCCCTCTTTTTTGGTTTTCCTCGTACCCCTCTAACCACTCCTCTTCAGTCTCATTGGCTGGATTCTTCTTTGCCAGCTCCTTCATGTTGGTGAGCCTCTGGATTCTCTCCTCCTCCTCATTTCTCTTTCTTTGTGCTTTCCTTTGATGATCTCATCTATTTCTAAGCTTTCATATACCACCTATATGTTAATGACTTCTGAATGTTCATCTAGAGATGAATCTAGAACTTTCTTCAAATCCCAACATCCTTATATAGGAAGATGTACCCAGAAGAAATAGCCCATGATATTTCAGGGCAATATCATGTGACTAGAGAAAGTCATCTTAGGCTAGTAATCTCCACTCATGCCCATCTAGTTGAGGGCTCAATTCACTTATTTTCAACATCCACAACCATTTCTAAGGTGATAGCTTCTCTGGTTACTTATCACTGGTATGACCAAACATCTTGATTTGCCTAAGATGGCTCTGGTTTATGCCTATTGTTCAAGACCAACCTGGCCAACATGGTGAAACCCCATCTCTACTAAAAATACAAAAAATTAGCTAGGTGTGGTGACGCACACCTGTAATCCCAGCTACTGAGGAGGCTGAGGCATGAGAATCGCTTGAACCTAGGAGGTGGAGGCTGCAGTGAGCCGAGATCGCACCACTGCATTCCAGCCTGGGCGACAAGAGTGAGATTTCATCTCAAAAAAAAAAAAAAAAAAAAAATCAGTATATCCTGTGTAACTTGTAAGAGCTGCTTATATCCATCAGCTCACTCTTATCCTACTTTTCATATTTAAGTGTCTAGACTTCATTGTACCTTTACTGCATTATGACTTAGAGTTTGTTCAAGATTAAAATCTTTTGCCATTTCCTGAATTTCTGCTTAGTGATGCTTCCAAAGACAGTAATACTGATAATTAGTCTTGAAATATTTCTCTATTAGCCTTATTTAAACATTTTGGAGAATGTTTCTAAAGTCATTTGCTCCACATTACTGAAATATATTTATTTTCTCTTCACCTTATTTTTTAAAAAACAGAACCCAGTAAGGCAGTTTTGATAAAACCTGATTATGCACAGTTTAAGGAAACATTGAAGATGTATAATTTTAATCTTAAATTAATGTTGATACTTACTACATTTTCTGAATGTTGTACTCTCATAAAAGTTCACAACCCAAAGAGGCATTTAGAGATCATCTAGTTTTTGTTTTTTAAATATCTGTAAGAATAATGGGCATCAGAAAGGTTAAGCACCTTGCCTGAGATCCTAAAGAGAACAAGGCAAAACAGAAAACTGAGAATCTCTTGACTTTTAGTCTACTATTCTTTCTGTTATACTACCAACCATTTGAAAATTTTAATGTATTTTAAGAAAGTGATCTCATAACCAAAAGATGTCTGTGCATCATAGAAACCCATAGTGTTTGGTTTTCAATATGTAATTTCCTTATTTTACCCCTTTAACTTTAACCCTTTTTCTTTATACAAGTCTACATTTAGACCACAGTGATAGAAACTACCGAGTATGATAGAAACTACCCAGTGTGGTAGGGAAAAAAATTATGTGGGTGGAATTTGAAATGCCTGTGCTCAGAAAATATTTATATATATTTCTTTCTTATTTCTGTTCTGTGCTCTGCTCCCCTAACTATCCATCTTCACACATGGTTATAGAACAGTAGATTCAGCCACCAGATCTGAGTTTGAACTTGTGGTTATCTTTCTTGGTGTGAAATGTTTTATAACAGTAAACACATTTTTCTGTAATTGACTGCCTCAATTATTGTTTTTTCTTTCTTTTGAAGGGAAGCTAATTTTTTTGTTTCTTAAGAATTATGAAATAAGAGGAAACGTGCTATCTATACGTGCAAGGTGTATTTAAAGCTTATAAATATCTGTGTTCAGTATGTCTAAAACTTATTTTGCAGAATCTTCTAAAACTTATTTTGCAGAATCTTTAACCTTATGCAAAATATATATGAAAAAAGTTTATTATTATAGTACAGCTACATAAATTATTTTTATTATTTTCATTTCACATTTAGGATAAGGCTCCAAGCTGTTTTTAGCATTCCTCAGGAGGTATGGAAAACTATCATGCTTATAATTGATTTTCAAGAACTTTTAAACTGTATGCTTTGGATTATCTTTAACAGTATGAATAAGCATCCAAAATTTTATTGCTGAAGGTTTTTGGTTTTAATATGAAAAATGTTTGGTAAGGTTTTTAAGGTGTTTCGGTAGTGCCTTAAATGCTAATTGTGGAATAGAGAGTGGCTTTTGTAAATGTGTCTGTTTCTCAGAGCCTTACCTGGGGGAACATTTCCTAAAGGTATTTGAATATTAAAATGTTTTCTATCAAAGTTAGTATTAAATGAACTGGTGTTTATTTATTGAACTCTTGTATCTGTGGTACTGTGTTAGATGCTCATATTTTTCTGATCAAATAAGATCTGGTTTCCTTTCTTAAGAAAAGTATAATCTAGTTTTAAAAGAAACAATACAGTACAGTGTGGTGAGTGATAAGATAGAGGCATATGGAAAAGTAATTAATTGGGAATTAATGGGAATTTCCATAGCAACATGATAAAAAATTAGTTGAGAAAGTGTATACCCTTTGAAGGAATTGCAGGGTGGTACAACGTGTTATGTGTTGGGAGTTTGGAAAAGCTAAATTGTAGCAGGTATTGCATACTTTGATAATAAGCAGTTGGGATCTTCTTCCCTATGAATTGGAGTGACATTTGTCATTCCAAGGGATATGAGTAACATTTTTAGTGGTAGCATATTTAGATTAAACAGAAAATAGACCAGACAGTGTGATCAAGTAGGAGGTTGTTAGTATTGCAAGTAAGAGAGGAGTTGAAGGTCTAAGGATGCTTAGGTGTAAGATTAGGGGGAAGGACCAGATTCAAGGTGATGATGATAATATCTAATAATAATTGATTTTCCTGCAATCTGCCAGGCACTGTGCTATGCATTTTACATGAATTATCTCGTTTAATGTTGATATTCGCAACAACTACAGCTACTCTTATGAACTCAGTTGTATAGATGAGAAACTGAGGCTTAGAAAGAGGAAGTCGAGTACCCAAGGTCATAGAGCAGCAGATGCAGAGGTGAACCAGTAAGTGGTCAAGAGGGAGAATTGACTAGGCACTAGATGAAGTGCTATTCTGGTTTCTCACCTCAGTCACTGGGTAGAGGCCATTTACTGAAAGAGGAATGAAGAAGGAAGAGCTGGCTTATTGGAGAGAGAAGTCAATGTCTGCTTTGGAGAATAGAAATTTGTATATAGAATACAAAGGGATTGCATGAGTCTGAATCCTGGCCCTGACACTTAGTAACTCTGTGACTTTGAGCAATGACCTAACCTTACTGTGCTTCAGTTTCCAATATGTGTCAACTAGGGATAATAATGTTACTTAGGAGATTGTTAGGAGGATTAAACTAACTACTCTACTTACCTAGAGTGCTTACAATAGTGCCTGATGTGTAGTAATTAATCACTGTAGGTGTTAGCCAGATTATCATCATCATCATCATGCTATAAAAATCCAAAGGTCTCTTTTGAGGAGGGATGTAGTAGTCAGTGTAAAACATCTAGCACATTCCTTCTAACAGGGATAGAAAGCCGGGGAGATGATTTACCTGGATGAACCTTCATAGTTCCTTTAAATGCCGTCTCTCTCTCTATAGCTACAATATCTCAGAATTTCTACCCTTTTGCGGTGCTCAGGGCCAAACACAGGTTCTTCCTGAGATATCTGGTTGCCGAATTTGTTTGTTTTTAGGAAAAATGAACTACCTGTTGAAAGGCTTAAGTTTGGTGCGTTTTAGTGTGACTTCCTCTGAATTTCTATTAAAATTTTGCCTGGCTGCCCTATGCCTGAGTTTCCTTTATTTCCTGGCCAGCTTTGTTCTGCAAGGAGCCAGAGTAACCTCTCCTCCCTAGGTCAGCGCCCCAGGTTTCAAGGCAGCCGGAATGGCATGTTAACCAAGATTTCATGGGCTTGGGGAGAGGGGTAGCGAAATAGGCAATGTTGTTTATTGACACCCTGAAATATGAAAAAATAATATGTACACCTTTCTGGGCCATTGCTGTCTTAGATTTCCATTCTTCCCCCAGAACTACTGCCTTACTGCTGTTATACATGTTTTTTTTTTTAGTTTTCTTTACACAATTCTACATAAATTGGAAATATTTCATTAAACACATTTTTCTACTTTAACTTAGCTTAAATGCATAATACAGAATAAATATAGGAACAGCACAACCATTTATTTCCATATTCACTAGTTAAGGATTATTATATTCCCACATTTTAAATATAGAACATCTAGTTCAGAGCCAATTCTTAACCCTCCGATGCTGAAATTTCTGATGCTCTTTAGAGCTGAAGGTGTTACTTCTTGTTAAAATGTACATACTTCTTTTCAAGAGGAGCAACATTTTTCTTCCAAGTCATTTACTTTTTGGTATAAATGTACAATGTGGAAACATGGAAAAAGATAACAAAGCTGTAAAACATCTTGAGAAGTTTGTGGGGGGGCAAGAAGTTTGTGGTGCTTGGAGGCGTGCCTGGGAGTTGGCACTAAGTACAGCTGTAATTAGTCAGTTTTCTGTCCTGTCCACACAGAAAACCGTCTAGTTACAGTTGTAAGTTGTGCCAGACCTAATCGCTAAAATGCTCTGAAAGGTAGAATTCTGAAAGATATAGTTTGGTTGTGAGTAGTCTGTCAAAAATTGTATGCAGTATTAGGAAAAACATTGGATAGGACTCTGCAGACCTAGCTGTTAAGTCCTCTGACTTTTGGGAAATCTCTTAACTGCTGTCTGCCTTAGTTTATCTGTAAAATTTTGAGGGAGGTGATATGGTCATTAACCCAGAGATCGTTTAACTCTCTGAAAGTTGATTGTAGAATGGATTCTCATTTTAAAATAATTTATTAAATGCGAACTCTGGCAGTTTTCCTTTATTGTCAATCAACTTGTCACTTACCTCAGTATTAGTTGAAAAAATGTCTTTTGAGTATGGCAGTTACGTCTTACATATGACTGTGTTCCAGAGGCTCATTTCTAAGATGGTTGTTGAGAATGTTTAGAATGCATAAGATTTGCCCTTACAGACAAAATAAACTACAGTATACTTGAGTGTTGCATTGTGAGACTTCCCCGGGAAAAAGGTCCGGCAAAGTGCTGAGATTACCTCAACATGTCTAACTGGCTTACTGTTTGCCTTACGTGGTACTATCCTACTTTTGGGGCCCTTTCCCCAGATTGTTGGAGCTACCACAAATGGCTTTGAGGTACAGGAATCTCTTCTCCCTCCCTGACAGGCAGGGGGCTGGGGGAGAATGGGGCAAAACATATTGCTAGCAATTCAAGTTGGAACTCTGAATTCATTTTCCCATTGAGGCATGAGTTGTTACTAAGATTCTGTAGGGTCTGTAGTTAAAAGCCTTAACAGCATTTCCTTCCTGAAGCTGTCCCAATGTTAGTATCTACGGAACTGGAGACCACAATCTTTATTTCCTAAGAATACATGACATCTTGACTTCTAGTCAGATGCTCCTTAATGCACTCTTCAGAGAAGCAAGTTCAGTATTTGTCAAGAAGGGCCTGGGCGCTAAACAACTGCTATCATTTCTTTTAAAGTTAATAGATTCAATGAAAGTTGAACATACCACGAAGTATGGTGAGTAGTCAATAAATATGGGATCATGATTTGTCTTATGGAAGATTTCAGTTTGTGAAACCATTTATATTATTGTTAAATTGGTTTTCATGAATTTTCTTATTCAGTTATTTAATTTAGAACTTTAAGTGTCATATCTTTCCCTGATCTGCATTTTAAATTCCAAGAGGAATTTGATCACACAAAGCCCATTAAATATTTTAATTTCCCCTATTTAGTGAGTACCAGATTTTGCTTCAGTATTCTCGAGAGTGTATTTATTATCCACTATAAAATAGATTATAAAGGTTTTTATATTAATAAAAGTAAATATATAAAAATAATATTCCTAATGAACTTTGTTTTGTCTTTAGTTAGGAATCATTCTTTTTTTGCCAATAAACCTTTTTATTTTTATTATTTTTAATTTTTCCATCAGTTATTGGGGTACAGGTGGTATTTGGTTACATGAATAAGTTATTTAGTGGTGATTTGTGAGATTTTGGTGTACCTATCACCCAAGCAGTATACACTGTACCATATTTGTAGTCTTTTAATCCCTCGCCCCCCTCCCACTCTTCCCCCCAAGTCCTCAGAGTCCATTGTATCATTCTATGCCTTTGCATCCTCATAGCTTAGCTCCCACATATCAGTGAGAACATATGATGTTTTGTTTTCCATTCCCAAGTTACTTCACTTAGAATAATAGTCTCCAGTCTCATCCAGGTCACTGCAGATGCTGTTAATTCATTCCTTTTTATGGCTGCATTGTATTTCATCATATATATATATATACACACACATATACATACATACTTACATACCACAGTTTCTTTATTCACTTGTTGATTGATGGGCATTTGGGTTGGTTCCACAATTTTGCAATTGTGAATTTTGCTGCTATAAACGTGTGTAAGTATCTTTTTCAAATAATGACTTCTTTTTCTCTGAGTAGATACCCAGTAGTGGGATTGCTAGATCCAATGTTAGTTCTACTTTTAGTTCTTTAAGGAATCTCCACATTGTTTTCCATAGAGGCTGTACTAGTTTACATTCCTACCAGCAGTGCAGAAGTGTTCCCTGTTCACCACGTCCATGCCAACATCTACTGTTTTTTGATTTTTTGATTATGGCCATTCTTGCAGGAGTGAGATGGTATCACATTGTGGTTTTGATTTGCATTCCCCTGATCATTAGTGATGTTGAGCATTTTTTCATATGTTTGTTGGCCATTTATATATCTTCTTTTGAGAACTGTCTATTCATGTCCTTAGCCCACTTTTTGATGGGATTGTTTTTTTCCTACTGATTTGTTTGAGTTTGTTGTAGATTCTGGATATTAGTCCTTTGTCAGATGTATAGATTGTGAAGATTTTCTCCCAATTCTGTGGGTTGTTTGTTTACTCTGCTGACTGTTACTTTTGCCATGCAAAAGCTCTTTAGTTTAATTAGGTCCCAGCTATTTATCTTTGTTGTTATTGCATTTACTTTTGGGTTCTCTGTCATGAAATCCTTGCCTAAGCCAATGTCTAGAAAGGTTTTTCCAATGTTATCTTCTAGAATTTTTATAGTTTCAGGTCTTAAGTTTAAGTCCTTAGTACATGTGTAGTTGATTTTTTGTATAAGGTGAGAGATGAGGATCCAGTTTCATTCTCCTACATGCGGCTAGCTGATTATTCCAGCATGATTTGTTGAAAAGAATGTCCTTTCCCCACTTTATGTTTTTGTTTGCTTTGTCAAAGATCAGTTGGCTGTAGGTATTTGGGTTTATTTCTGGGTTCTCTATTGTGTTCCATTGGTCTATGTGCCTATTTTTATACCAGTACCACACTATTTTGGTGACTATGGCCTTATAGTATAGTTTGAAATCAGGTAATGTGATGCCTCCAGATTTGTTCTTTTCACTTAGTCTTGCTTTGGCTATGCAGGCTCTTTTTTGGTTCCATATGAATTTTAGATTTTTTTTTCTAATTCTGTGAAGAATGATAGTGGTATTTTGATGGGGATTGCATTGAATTTGTAGATTGCTTTTGGCAGTATAGTCATTTTCACAATATTGATTCTACCCATCCATGAGCATGGGATATGTTTCCATTTGTTTGTGTCATCTGTGATTTCTTTGAGCAGTGTTTTGTAGTTTTCCTTGTAGAGATCTTTCAATTCCTTTGTTAGGTGTCTTCCTAAGTTTTTTTTTTTTTTTTTTTTTTTGGAGCTATTGTAAAAGGGGTTGAGTTCTTTTATTTGATTCTCCACTTGGTCGCTGTTGGTGTATAGAAGAGCTACTGATTCGTGTACATTAATCTTGTATCCAGAAACTTTGTTGAATTCTTTTATCAGTTCCGTGAGCTTTCTAGAGGAGTCCTTAGGGTTTTCAAGGTAAACAATCATATCATCAGCAAACAGTGAAAGTTTGACTTCCTCTTTACTGACTTGGATGCCCTTTATTTCTTCCTCTTGTCTGATTGCTCTGGCTAGGACTTCCAGTACTATGTTGAAGGGGAGTGGTGAGAGTGGGCATCCTTGTCTTGTTTTAATTCTCAGAGGGAATGCTTTCAACTTTTCCCCATTCAGTATTATGTTGGCTGTGGGTTTGTCATAGAGGGCTTTTATTACATTAAGGTATGACCCTTGTATGCCGATTTTGCTGAGAATTTTAATCATAAAGGATGCTGGATTTTGTTGAATGCTTTTTCTGCATCTATTGAGATGATCATGTGATTTTTGTTTTTAATCCTGTTTATGTGGTGTATCACATTTATTGACTTACGTATGTTAAACCATCCCTGCATCCCTGGTATGAAACCCACTTGATCATGGTGGATTATCTTTTTGACATGTTCTTGGATTTGGTTAGCTAGTATTTTGTTAAGGATTTTAGCATCTGTGTTCATCAAGGATATCGTTCTGTAGTTTTCTCTTTTTGGTTATGTCCTTTCCTGGTTTTGATATTAGTGTGATGCTGGCTTCATATAATGAATTAGGTAGGGTTCCCTCTTTCTCTTTCTTGTGGAATAGTGTCAAAAGGATTGGTACCAATTCTTTAAATGTCTGGTAGAATTCTGCCGTGAATCTGTCTGGTCCTGGACTTTTTTTTTAGTGGTAATTATTAAATTACCATTTCAATCTCGCTGGGTCTGTTCAGGGTATCTCATTCTTCCTGATTTAAGCTAGGAGGGTTGTATTTTTCCAGGAATGTATCCATCTCTTCTAGACTTTCTAGTTTATGTCTGTAAATGTATTCGTAGTAGCCTTGAATGATCTTTTGTATTTCAGTGGTGTCAGTTGTAGTATCTCCCATTTCATTTCTTAATGAGGTCATTTGGATTTTCTCTCTTCTTTTCTTGGTTAATCTTGCTAATGATATATCAATTTTATTTATCTTTTCAAAGAACCAGCTTTTTGTTTCATTTATCTTTTGTATTTTTTTTGTTTGTTTCAATTTCATTTAGTTTTGCTCTGATCTTGGTTATTTCCTTTCTTCTGCTGGGTTTGGGTTTGCTTTGTTCTAGTTTCTCTAGTTCCTTGAGGTGTGACCTTAGATTGTGCTCTTTCAGACTTTTTGATGTAGGCATTTAGGACTGTGAACTTTCCTCTTAGCACCACCCTTGCTCCATCGCAGAGGTTTTGATAGGTTGTGTCATTATTGTCATTCAGTTCGAAGAATTTTTTAATTTCTATCTTGATTTCGTTTTTGACCCAATGCTCATTCAGGAGCAGGTTATTTAATTTCCATGTATTTGCATGGTTTTGAAGCTTCCCTTTGGAGTTGATTTCCAGTTTTATGCCGCTGTGGTCTGAGAGAGTGCTTGATATAATTTCAGTTTTCTTAAATCTATTGAGACTCGTTTTGTTGCCTGTCATATGATCTATCTTGGAGAAAGTTCCATGTGCTGTTGAATAGAATGTATATTCTGCAGTTGTTGGATGAAATGTCTGTATATATCTGTCAAGTCCATTTGTTCCAAGGTATAGTTTAAATTCATTGTTTCTTTGTTGACCTTCTGTGTTGATGACCTGTCTGGTCATTGGAGTATTGAAGTCCCCCACTATTATTGTGTTGCTGTCTCATTTCTTAGGTCTATTAGTAATTGTTTTATAAATTTGGGAGCTCCAGTGTTAAGTGCATATATGTTTAGGATTGTGATATCTTCCTGTTGGACAAGGCCTTTTACCATTATATAATGTCCCTCTTTGTCTCTTTTAACTGCTGTTGCTTTAAAGTTTGTTTTGTCTGATGTAAGAATACCTTGCTGGCTTTTGGTGTCCATTTGCATGAAATGCCTTTTCCCACCCCTTTACCGTATGTGAGTGCTTATGTGTTAGGTGAGTATCCTGAAGGCAATAGATAGTTGATTGGTGAATTCTTATCCATTCTGTGGTTCTGTATCTTTTAAGTGGAGCATTTAGGCCATTTACATTCAATTTTAGCATTGAAATGTGCGGTATGGTTCCATTCATCATGCTCCTTGTTGCCTCTGTACTTTTGTTTGTTGTTGTTTTGTTTTTGCTTTTTAACTTGCATTTTTGTTCTATAGGCCCTGTGTGATTTATGCTTTGAAGAGGTTCTGTTTTGATGTGTTTCCAGGATTTGTTTCAAGACTTGGAGCTCCTTTTAGCAGTTCTTCTAGTGGTGGCTTGGTGATGGCGAATTCTCTCAGCATGTGTTTGTCTGAAAAAGACTGTATCTTTCCTTCATATATGATGCTTAATTTTGCTGGATACAAAATTCTTGGCTGATAATTGTTTTGTTTGAGGAGTCTGAAGTTAGGGCCCCAATCCCTTCTAGCTTATAGGGTTTCTGCTGAGAAATCTGCTGTTAATCTGATAGGTTTTCTTTTATAGGCTACCTGGTACTACTGTTTCACAGCTCTTAAAATTCTTTCCTTCATCTTAACTTTGGATAACCTCATGACAATGTGCCTACGCGAAGATCTTTTTGAGATGAATTTCCCAGGTGATCTTTATGCTTCTGTATTTGGATGTCTACGTCTCTAGCAAGGCCAGGGAAGTTTTCCTCAATTATCCACCCAGATATGTTTTCCAAGCTTTTAGAATTCTCTTCTTCCTCAGGAACACTGATTATTCTTAGGTGTGGTCATTTAACATAATCCCAGACTTCTTGGAGGCTTTGTTCATATTTTCGTATTCTTTTTTCTTTGTCTTTGTTGGATTGGGTTAATTCGAAGACCTTGTCTTCGAGCTCTGAATTTCTTTCTTCTACTTGTTTAGTTCTATCGCTGAGACTTTCCAGAGCATTTTGCATTTCTAAAAGTGTGTCCAAAGTTTCCTGAATTTTTTATTGTTTTTTTTCTTTATGCTATCTATTTCTTTGAATATTTCTCCCTTCACTTCTTATATCATTTTTTGGATTTCCTTGCACTGGGCTTCACCTTTCTCTGGTCCCTCCCTGATTAGCTTAATATCTAACCTCCTGAATTCTTTGTCAGGTAAATCAGGGATTTCTTCTTGGTTTGGATCTATTGCTGGTGAACTAGAGAAATTTTGGGGGGGTGTTGAAGAGCCTTGTTTTGTCATATTACCAGGGTTGGTTTTCTGGTTCCTTCTCATTTGGGTAGGCTCTGTCAGAGGGAAGGTCTAGGGCTGAAGACTGTTGTTCAGATTCTTTTGTCCCACGGGGTGTTCCCTTGATGTAGTATACTCCTCCTTTTCCTATGGATGTGGCTTCCTGTGAGCCGAACTGCAGTGATTGTTGTCTCTCTTCTGGGTCTAGCCACCCAGCGAGTCTCCCTGGCTCCAGGCCGGTACTGGGGGTTGTCTACACAGAGTCCTGTGATGTGAACCATCTATGGGTCTCTCAGCCATGGATACCAGCGCCTTTTCTGGTGCAGGTGGTGGAGGGTGCAGTGGACTCCGTGAGGGTCCTTAGCTTTGGTGGTTTAATGCTCTATTTTTGTACTGGTTGGCCATGTTTTAATGCTCTATTTTTGTGCTGGTTGGCCTCCTGCCAGGAGGTGGCGCTTTCCAGAAAGCATCAGCTGTAGTAGTACAGAGAAAGATATGCGGTGGGCAGGGCCCTAGAACTCCCAAGATTAAATGCCCTTTGTCTTTTGCTACCAGGGTGGATAGGGAAGGACCATCAGGTGGGGGTGGGGCTAGGTGTGTATGAGCTCAGCAGCTCCTTGGTTGGGTCGTGCTGGGGCTGCTGTGGGGAATTGGGGGTGAGATTCCCAGTTTACTGGAGTTGTGTACTTAGGAGGATTATGGCTGCCTCTGCTGAGTCATGAAGGTTGTCAGGGAAGTGGGGGAAAGCCAGCAGTCGGAGCCCTCACCCAGCTCCCACGCAAACAGAAGGGCCACTCTCACTCCCACCGTGTCCCCCCTAACTGCCGGGAGTCTGTTTCCAGGCTGAGGGCTAGATGGGCTTGAAAACTTCCCCGAGGCTATCCACCTCTCAGCTACGAAAGAAAAGGGCTTTAGTTCTTCCTTCCACCTGTGAAGTCTGCGAGCTGGATTTGCACCCTCCCCGGAGTTCTGGCCAGCAGGCTTCTCACCGCGTTCAAATTGTTAGAAAGTTAGGCTAGAGAATTCCTTTCCCTGTGGGGTTTTACCCCCTGCTCCTCTAGCCACCCTCCCAATGGATCCTTGTGGTGCCAGGCAGGAATGGGCTACTTAAGGACCCAGGGAGCTCCCAGGGCCTTTCTGCTGCATTCTCTACCCCTGTAATTCACTAGGCTTGGCTCTCTAACTTGATTCAGCTCAGGTAAGGTCAGAAACTTCTCCAGCAAACAGACCTTCAGCTTCTCCAGTGGGGGTGTGTGTTCAGGAGAGGAGGGTCTCCCTTTCCCACTTGCACAGTTGGGGCACTCACAGTATTTGGGGGTCTCCTGGGGCCTGCAGGAGCAATCCGCTTCCTTCAGAGGGTCTGTGGGTCCTCTCGGGATTGCTGGTTTGTTCTTGCAGTGGATCTGGAGCTCAAATTCACAATGCAAGCCACCACATGCTGCTCTGTCCAGAGCTGCAATCTAGTCCTGCCTCCCTTCGCCATGATCCCAGGAGCTCCTCTCTTTAGTTAGGAATCATTCTGATGGTTATTGCTTAACACATCTAGTATTGACTAAAAAGTTACACAGTAAAGCTTAGATTAACAGATATTTTCTTGCTTAAATATTGTACAGTTCAACTGATATGTTTTAACTGGCTTATTCTTTAAAGAGAATTATATTAATCTGAACAAGTGCAGTTTCCCCCTCCCCCTCTTTGGTCCCCTTCCCCCCACCAGTGTCCTGCATTTCAGACATATAGTTCTGTGTTGTAGTCTAAAAAGTTTGTAGAGAGAGGTTTAAAAATCTTGTTTCCAGGTGTATGTATTACAATCCAGTGGACTTGAGTAAAGGTTCTGGATACCATTTAGAGGTAGTATTTAGTGTTAGGGAAACGCCTTTGCCTGTTGTCTAATTTCTAATCGACAGAAGAAGAAAGGCTATGTATCTTCTAAACTTGCTTATTTCAGTTTTAGTTAATTACCCCCCAAAACATATGTAACTCCAAGACAACTGGGATAGTAGAGTCCAGTGACTAATCATTTCTGTGACCTTGGACCTGTAGGCCTCAGTTTTTCTCAACTGTAGAATGTGGGGTTAGAGAATATGATATCTAAAATTTCTGCCATTATGACAACATAAGATTCTAAGTTATTCATGTTTATTCCTTTATTCATGTCATTTATGAAATGATATAAATGGTGTTATCTTTTTTTCTCATAAAGATTTTTTATTTTTACTGATGTGTTGTAAAGACTATATGAGATCTTTGAGAAAGTTGCTAATCAATCTATCAATATATATTAAACTCTGGAGAGCTGGGATTTAGAATAGTTAAATCCATATAAACTAACCTTTATTTTCAAGAAGGCTGCTTCAAATCATGGCAGATTTTGATTTAACAGAATTTATTGGGCACTTATTATTCTGTACATTATTTTGCCTAATTCTTAAAATAACCCTGATTTATCACAGTCTCCTCTTTGGCACATAACATTTTTGAAAAAAAGTCTTTCCAATGGCAACTTCTCTAATACTATTGAATTGAGAAAATTAGGCAAGCACGTAGTGTTACTTTAAAAGGGAATTTTCCAGGATTTTTTGGCATTTGGTGAAAGACTAACAAGTCTTTTGGGTGTTACTGTTTGATGAGGAAAAAGTATGCTTTCTAATCAACCTATAAGAATAAATATCATTATTATAACCTTTTTTGTTGTTTTTTCCTTTTACTTCTTTTTTTTCTTGTGGAAGCCACAAGACAAGGAAAAAGCAGAAAATACAGGGACTTCCTATTTTTTTTTTCAGTGCTTCCCTGGAAATAGCGTTATGAAACAGAACATCATTTTCCTCACACTGATCTGAGGAAAGCTTGCAGTGATCTTTTTCTTCCTTCAGATGGCACTGTCTGTCATAAGGTGTGCAGCTAGTACTGAGCATTTACATAGAGCTATAAAATTTGTCAACAATGTTTACTGAGGTTATATAATTTCTTAGGCTCCACATAGCAACTCTGTGGGGTAGTTTATGGAAGAGGCAGCCAAACTTCACACAGCTCTGTGTGACTAGCTAGTAATTGCTAGATTCCTGATCTGCGGCTTCTGGGTCCTATTTCACTACTGTCATGATGCCTACTGTATGTATATCCCACTATTCAGAACAGATTCATAAATAGTGAAAATAGAATGAGCTGGAGCATATTAATAAATATCTATTAAAATATTTACTTAATAAATAAATATTGGAATTAATGAATTTATGAAAAAGGGAACTGTAGCACAATGGACCCCTTTCCCTTCTTATCACTGTGGCCACTGGCTATTTGATATTTATTGAAAAGGAAACTCAGCCACCTAGGGACCATTTCTTGCCCTGTTGTTGAGCTTGAGATTTTATTTTCAGTGGTACATGTAATGTCCTTGGTAGCATTGTCTAGAACACAGACATGACAAGGCATCTAAAAATGCCATTATATGAGGAGCTGCCCTAAAAGTGAAGAATATATGTGGTCATGACTTGCTGTGAGGGGCGGGTGTAGTAGTTCTCTGTGTCAAGAAGATAAATGCATGAAAATCCACAAGACTGAGGGTGATAGCTTAATTCTGTAATCTTTTAGGTGGATAATAAGTTGTGGAAATTAATCACAGAACTGGAACAGAGCTAAGATATCAAAGTTAACTATCCAGATGTCTGCAGGAAGTCTCATTCAATGAAAGCAGAGCCACTGTTGACTGACTTTAGTGACCATTTCATTTCCAGAAGGTAAAGGAAATAATCCAGGGAACCAGTACTCTTGAGTCTATCTTTGACCTAACTTGACTACGAGGGGCTTAATTAGACAAGTTAACCTAATGAAAATCCTGAGAGAGAGGCCACGCCATTCATTCGGCAAATGAGTAGAATCGAATGCCTGCTGTTAGCTGTGTTCTGTTCTAGATGCTAGAGATTTAGCAGTGAATACAACAGACAAAATCTCTGTCATTATAGGGCTTTCATTTTAAGAACTTACAATGATCTGTTGTCCAAAAATACTAGCTTCATGGTTACTTAACTGCAAGGACCTTAACTTTCACTTCACTTTAGACATCTGCTTGCAGGGCCACACTGTGGATGTTGTCATCTGGGACCGCTTGTTTCAGAAATCTAAAAATTCTAACATCTTCATTCCCACATTGTGTACTCTTCAGTCTGGTAGAGATCCACACTTCCTTGATTGCCTGGATTTTCTGCTTGTCTATCAACATTTATTTTCCTGGCCTCTTTCTTTTTCCTACCCAGTCTGTGTCTCATTTTTGGCCATAAGGACTGTTCTTCCACCCATACCCTTGGGTCCCCTTCACTTATGCTTCTGCTGCCTCCACCCACCAAAACTCCCATTTCCAGATCAGTGATAACAGTCTGCACTGTCTATTATTAGACCCAAGCAGCTGAATCCTGCTGGTGAATCTGAAATAGCTGAAAAAATCCATACCACCAGAAATTCATGGTTTTCCACCTCTGCTAAGCTAGTAGCCAACCAGTAAATTATTTTGTCTGTCATCACTACTTTCCCCCATTTGACTATTCTTCCAATAATTATTCTAAATTACTTAGCCTTTAGCCCCCAATCTCTAGACTCTCTTCTTTAAGCAGACAACTTTGCCTATTACTTGAATGAAAAAATTGAGCCAGTCATTCTTGAGCTCCCTCAGTTTCTGGCCTTCCACCTGTTTTCTATATCTGCAATTCTCCTTACCTCCTTTCCCTCAGCCTCAGAGGATGATGTGTCCCCTCCTGCTTCCCCGCCCCAGCCTAACCTCTTCACCTATACCCTTGATCCAATCCACACTTATTTTCTCCATGAATTTTGTCCTTCATTCATTCGTTCTCTTGCCCCTGTCTTCAGTATCTTCCCTTGTGCTGGCTGCAGTGGTATGCTAGTAAAGTGGCTCTCCTGGAGAAAGAAACAAAAAAGACCCTAATGTGTAGCATTTGCCCATTTCCATGATGGAAATACTCTCACCATGATGATTTTAAGCTACCAACATGGTGCCAGTGATGCTGGGAAGAAGTACACACAATCAGAGCTGATAGGAGATGGCTGGCCACGCCGCACCACCTCTTATTTCTTATAGCCTAAAAATACGGTTCTTCCAATTCTTTAAAAAATACAAATACTTGAAAAAAAAAATTCCTTAACCTATGCCTCCTTCTCCAGCTCCTCTCTATTTTCTGTTTTTCTTTTCTAATCCTGCCTTCTCAGGAGAGTCTATACTTGCTATTTCCTTATTCGGTCTGGTATTGGAAACCATGAGATGGAGTTAAGGATAGTTGTTGAGAAGGTATACATTTTGAGCATTGCTGAAATTGGAATGAAAGGCATGGTGGATTTAGTCTCAGTAGTCACTGTAAAGAAGTTAGTCACTGGCCTAATAGACAGAGGACTCAGCTCACCTGGTGTGGAGTGGTTTTGCCCTGACAGCAGACTCTGCACACGTGCCTCAGTTCTTCTTGTGTGTTCTTCGCAGGTGACAGTACCATTTATCCAGTTAACCAAGCCAGTATTCAGAGAGTTGTCCTGATCCCTCCCTTACCACTCACTTCTCCATCCAATTAATCACCAAAATTGTGCTCATTTTAATTCTTGGATATTTAATAAAATTATATTATTCTACTGTTGCTTTAGAAAAAAATATCCTTACCATTTGCTTGGAGTATGACGCCAGTCTCCAAATTGGTTTTCATGCAGCTAGAGTTTTCTCCATAAAATGTGTCTTCCACATTGCCACTAGAATGACCTATGTGTTCAAGATTGACCATGCCACTCACATGTTCAAAATAATTCATGGGCTTCCTGTCACCTGTAGCAGTGAGTCTCAGCCCTGACTGTTCATTAGAATCACCTATGAAGCTTGTTAAAAATACCGATGTTTAGGTCTTGCTGTGGGTTTAGCAGATTAGGTTCTCTGATCATGGGGCCTAGACAAACTCTATAGGTGATTCTGATAAGACTCACTAGCCAATAGATTAAAGCCCAAGGTTCTTAGCATAGTGTACAAAAGCCTTTCACCATCTGGTCTTTGCCAGCCACTCCCTCCATCCTCACTTTTCCTGTTTCTCATTTTGTAGTTGTGATACCAAACTTACTGTAATTTCTTCAGTGACAACTTGAGCTGCTGTTTCCATCTCTAATGCTTTTCTTCCCTTCTTTTCTCCCTTTACCTGTACAACTTCAATTTATTCTTCATGAAGCTTCCCTGGCCACTCAAATTGGGTTAAGTGCCCCTTAGCAGTACATAGTACCCTATATATTGATTTGCCTTTGCCACCGTAATGTAATCTTCTTGAGGGCAGAGACTGGAATTACTTTATGTTCTTAGTGTCTGATACAAAGTGGTTGTTTTGTAAATGATAGCTGGCAGACTAATAAGCAGGAAGAGGAATATGGAACAAAGCCGGAATATAGAGAATTGGAGTACAGAGTTCCTAAAATTCGAAGAAAAGGTAGGTAAGATGCCAGAGATAGTCTCTTGAAGGGAAAGTGGTTACAAGGTGATAATAGGCAGTATCTCTACTGAACAATTGGAAATAATATGTGAAGGAAAGGGAGAGGGAACATGGCCACATGAACTGATGATTTATTTTATTTATTTATTTATTATTTTATTTTATTTTATTTTATTTCATTTTATTTTATTTTTTGAGACAGAGTCTCGCTCTGTCGCCCAGGCTGGTGTGTAGTGGCGCGATCTCAGTTCACTGCAACCTTCTCTCCCAGGTTCAAGCAATTCTCCTGCCTTAGCCTCCTGAGTTACTGGGACTATAGGCGGTGCCACCGCACATGGCTAATTTTTGTATTTTTAGTAGAGATGGGGCGTGGTGGGGGGGGTTCTCCGTGTTGGCCAGGCTGGTCTCGAACTCCCAATCTCAGGTGATCCACCCACCTTGGCCTCCCAAAGTGCTGAGATTACATGCATGAGCCACCATGCCCAGCATGAACTGATTTTTAAATAATGTGCACAAGAAAGAAAGAAGGATATGAAACCAAATGGTCGTGTGCAGTGGATCACGCCTGTAATCCCAGCACTTTGGAAGGGTGGAGGTGGGCGGATTACCTGAGGTCAGGAGTTTGAGATCAGCCTGGCCAACTTGAACCTGGGAGGTGGAGGTTGCAGTGAGCTGAGATCATGCCACTGCACTCCATCCTGGGCGACAGAGCGAGATTCTGTCTCAAAAAAAAAACTGTATATATATATATGCACACATACACCCACACATATAAAACCTATAGAATAGGAACACAGTCCTGGTAGAATAATGAGCTAAGATTTTGAAAAAGTTGGGCTGACCTTTTACATTTTATATGTAGAGAACGAAAATGAGGCCAGGTGCAGTGGCTCACGCCTGTAATCCCAACACTTTGGGAAGTCAAGGCGGGAGGTTCACTTGAGCCCAGAAGTTCGAGACCAGCCTGGACAACATGGTGAGACCCTGTCTCTACAAAAAGAAAGAAAGGGCGCAGGGGTGGGGGATAGGGCAGTAGGGGGAGAGAGAGAGAATGAGTATGACAAATAAATAATAGATTCTTACCAACAAATGGACCCAATAATCAGATACAGAGAACAAATGAAATTTCTTAGCTTTCTTCTCTTCTCTGACATGGAGAATGATCTACACACAGACTAAGAAGGGTACAAGTGAGAAAAATAAGAGGAGAAAATTGAAGCCCAAGATTGGGGAGGAGATTGTATCAGAACTCTGGATGCTCTAAAATGAATTCACATCTCACGGTCAGATTCTGAGAACATTTGTTAATGTCATTGCTCAACTAATAATCTTTGAGTAATTATAGTGAAATGTGAAAACTTGTAGAAGCCTGTGGAGGAATAATGTTCTAAAATTTAAAAAAATGTAGCTTCCATAGATTTTTGTAAACTTGATGTTACTTCCACAAAAGACTCTAGAGATCATTTTTAAAGATTTTCAAATATTATACTTAAAGAAAAGATGAGCAATAAAGGCTATGTAGGCTTTCTAAGAATTCATTCCAGATAACCCAGTTTCTACCTATAGAGTCTACATTTACAGATTAGGAGAATGCTGCAGCTGTAATATATCTAGATTCCCATGGAGTATTTGACAGTCCACCATTCTATACTTGGGAACATGAAGGAGAGTTGGATTATAGTATGGGTATAGTTATTGAACAATGGAACTCAATCTTGATTTAGTTACTCATTGGCAGCCTGGCAGGAAGTCTCTTATGGGCTGCTGTTTTTTGACCCTGTTACACTCATCAGTTTAACACCTCCTTCCCACTTCTCACTCTCAGCTGGCAGTCTTGCTGTTTATTGCACCAAGAAAATAGAAGCACCTGAAAAAAATTCTTGGTCCTCCTATTGCCAAATATACTAATCTTCCTACATCTATACTCGTATTCTCTGACATTCTTCTTATTCAATTAGATGAACTGCCACTGTTCCTTCCACTTGTATGTTGGTCTTCTTCGTTTTGCCTACTCATTGTTCCTAGAATTCTCTCTTCTCATTCTAGTTTTTCATCTATTTTCCTTTCTCTGTTAGAGAAACATACTATGTTTCAGCTTAGAAACAAGCTATAATATTAATCAGGTTTTTTTTTAACCTCACTTATCTCATGTCCTCCTCAAGCCATCACCCGTTCCCTTGCATGCTTTGTGGCAGAACTTCTCAAAAGAGCTGTTTAAATTGCTTGCCTTCATTTCCTCACCACTCTTTTCCACCCCACCAAGACCATTCTTTGAAAAGATTGTCAGTAACTTCCATGTTGCTAAATCCAGCAGTCAATTCCCAGTCTTCATCTTACTTAACTTAACTTCTCAGAATTCTTTTTTTTTTTTTTTTGAAACAGGGTCTCACTCTTACCCAGGCTGGTATGCGGTGGCTCAATCTCAGCTCACTGCAACCTCCCCCTTTCAGGTTCAAGCAGTTCTCATACCTCATCCTCCCAAGTAGCTAGGATTACAGGTGTGCACCACCATGCCGGCTAATTTTTGTATTTTTAGTAGAGATGGGATTTCGCCATGTTGCCCAGGCTGGTCTTGAACTCCTGGCCTCAAGTGATTAGCCTACCTCACCTTCCCAAAGTGCTCTGATTACAGGCTTGAGCCACTGCACCCGCCAGCTTTCTCTCAGAATTTTTGATAGCATTGGTTACTCTTTTCTGTTTCAAGCTTTCTTCACCTGGTTTCTGGGAGATACCACTCACCTGATTTTTCTCCTGCCTCACTTGCTGTTCCTTCTCAGTCTCCTGTGTTGGATACTTACCCTCTCCATTGACTCAGCCATGCTAAGCCCAGGGCTCAGTTGTAAAACCTCTTCTCTGCTCCCTTACACTCATTCTCTAGGTCCTCGCTGTTCATTATAGTAGCCCCTAGCCACATGTGGCTTTTGTCTGCTATATTGTGTGGCAGAAATTATAGAACAGGCTCATCGTCTCAGAAAGCTCCGGTGAACAGCACTGTTCTGGGTTATTTCATCTGTCTAGTTCCATGGCTTTAAAAATTTATTGATGATATCCTGATGATTCCCAAATTGATTCACTAGTTCCAGCTTCCCTGCCTGTTTTGATCTTCAGCTGCCTACTTGATTACTTAATTTCTAAGAAACCTATCACACCTAACATAGCTAAAACTGAACGTTATTTTCCCTCACAACTGTTCTTATGTCAGTCTTACCTATCAGTAAACAGTACTATTCTTCACACAGGCTAAAAAACCTTATAGTCTTTTTTGGGTGGGCATTGGGAGGGACTTGCATTCTTGGGGAGAAATGGTTTCAGGGGAACACTTCTATTTCCTCTTTCCATGCTTACTTTAGTTCCTGAGAAGGAAGAATGGGTTGACTTTTCTCACTTTTTCTTTGCAATTATTTTTTACCTCTTGTCCTCTTGCACTCAATATCCCGTACATCCAGCATACATTTATCTCAGTGGCTTGGAACGCACGTTTCCCAGATACCCACATGGTCCATTTACTTATTCCATTCAAGTTTTTGCTCAAATATTACTGCTTCAGACCTTCCTTGTCCATCCTATCTGAAACAGCATTCCTGTCACTCTATACCCTTACTTTGTTTTACTTTTTCATCGAATTAACATGACCTGACATTATAGTGTATGTTTGCTTTTCATCTGTCTCCACCTCACTATAATACATGATGGTAAGGATTTTGATTCTGCTCTAAACTCAGTGCATAAATTAGTAGCTCACATACAGTAAATGTTCAATAACATTTGTTGAATTAAATGGCATATTGATGAAACTTCTGATGACATAAAATGAGAGGTAGCTAATACATTAAATCAGTGTTTGTGTATGTATGTTTTGTTTTTGCTTGTTCATATTTTACATTTTACCAGTCACTATATGAGGAAAAAGTGAAACATTATTTTTCTGAGGAGGTCATTTATATGATTATAGGCATTTGTTACTATGTTTTTCATTTACGGTAAATGCTAAGGATATAAAAATTCTACGAATATCGTTGGGGCAAGTTTTCTTTGTTATGACATTATAACAATTGTTGTATTAGAAATTGAAATTATAGTGATAAAGTTAGATTTAAAATTGGGCATTATAGCTATGAAAGGTAAAAAGTAATAAGACAGGGTCCCTGGCCTTAAGTAACTTGTGACCTAGAGGGTGAAACAGTCATAGATAAGTAACTACAGGGTGTGTCTATGTAGTTTGGAAACAGAGGCAAATATATAATGGGCTAAGGGCATCATTATTAAAAATGTATCTATACTTCCAGATGTTCTGGACACCTAGAATGATACAGGATGATAAAAATTAGAATACAGGTGTGTATAAAGAGTGCTGGCAGACTCAAGGAGGACACATGTGACTGTGCTGGTGGTTAGAATTATGATCTTGGATAAAATGAAACTGCATAGATATTCAAGTGAGGCTTTGTAAACTACAGAGATAAAGAAGCCATGCCAGTTTAAGAGCATTAGAGAAATCCCTCAGCTTGGCCTAGAAAATGTCCCTCGATAAGAGAAACAGACGGATCTAGCTGACCAGCTGCCAGCTTTCACTTCTTACGGCCACGCTGAGTTAGCTGGAATCATCTTAGCATTGCAAGATAGATGGCTCTACCTTGTGGTAGTCCAAGCTGGAGGGTGGTAGTAGTCAGAGCAGCTAATATAATACCATCTTTAGGCTTACAGTTTGATCCATAATTTCCCTTCCATAATTTTATTTTATTTTTTCCCCTTCCATAATTTTAAAGTTAAAAATATCTCTATGGGCTGGGCACGGTGGCTCACATTTGTAATCCTAGCACTTTGGGAGGCCGAGGCGGGTGGATCACCTGAAGTCAGGAGTTTGAGACCAGCCTGGCCAATGTGGCGAAACCCCCCCCCATTAAAAATACAAAAATTAGCCAGGCATAATGGTGGGCGCCTGTAATCCCGGCTACTCGGGAGGCTGAGGCAGGAAAATCACTTGAACCCAGGCGGCAGAGGTTGTTGCAGTGACCCGAGATCGCGCCACTGCACTCAAGCCTGGGCGAAAGGGTGAAACTCCTCTCAAAAAAAAAAAATTTGCATGATATTGATTAGCTCAGGAGGCAGCAGGAACAGGTATGGAAGGTGTGTTAGGACTCTATTCCAGGGCTGTTCCACTTGGTTGAGCCGTTGATATACTGCTTTCTGGTGCTCTGCCAGAGGAATGAGGGGGTGAGACTGAAATATACCCTGTGCTTTGATAGCTGTGTGCCCTGCTGTGTGGAGCTGCACCCATCAGGAAGGGATGTTTTTTCCTAATTCACACAAAGCCCTGCATTGTCTAACACAGCTGTTTTCTGCCTGGTTTATCTTCAAGTGCCTAGAATAATGTGTGGTACAAGAACTGGTTGGCAAGCTGAAAGAAACTTAAGACAGTTTTCCAGATTTGAGCATTTTGAAGTAATTAAAGATCACTCCTGGGCCAGGTACAGTGGCTCACGCCTGTAATCCCAGTACTTTGGGAGGCCGAGGTGGGCAGATCACTTGAGCTCAGGAGTCCAAGACTAGCCTGGGCAACACAGCAAGACCCCATCTCATTTTTTTTTAAATAAAAATAATTTTAAAAATCAATCTGATTTTAAAACTTATAATTCAAAATATCTTCATGTTTGCCGCATAACTATGATAAGGAAACATTCTTCATGCTTCTTCCTGGTAAGCACTGTAGAGAAGGGGAGAGCAGGTAACTAAAGAGAAATATCCTGTTGCTATCCCAGAAATAGAAATTTATCCTTTAGTCTTCTAGAAATAACCTTCATTATATTCTACTCAAAAGATTAATTCATTTAAAAACTTCAATAAAGATATGAAATTTGATGGTGATTAATAAATTAATGTTTGGCTTTGGTATTGTCTAAGTTCTTATGTATCCTCAAATACCTTTCATCCTAACAGGAAAGTAATGGCTGTACCTAGGAACTCTGAGTTGAAAACCTTTTTGTCGTGATAGTATTTAGATATTCCGCTGCCTCCTAGATTCTAGTGTTAAGAAGACTGGTCTAATTCTCCTTTGCAGTTAACTTGTGATTTACCTGGAGGTTTTAAGTTAAGAACTGGAAGAGGAAAAGTAGAGAGCTATTATTGAGTTGCTTTTTCAGATCACTATGTTCCAAGATTCCCTCTCAAGAGGAATTCTTGAAGTAGGCATTTTTTTAGTGTGCTCCTAAGATCTAAAAATTTCATTGGTGGTTTCATACATCATGTATGAAGACTGGCCACTGATTATGTCACAACTTTGTTAAAATTATTTGTGGTTTACTATTGTGATTAATATGTCTTTTTTTTTGTAGGTGAAGCTTTGTTCTAAGAATATTTGTTTCATCTAGTTTATGAGTCCAAATGATATAGACTGTAAATGTCACAGCAGTGGTGAAAGACTGGTAAGTATATAATGTAATAAATATTAACCATCAACATGATTTTGAAGGCTTGAAACTACATAATTATCTGACATTCGTTAAACCCCAAAGTTAAAACAGCTAAACTTTTCTTAGTAGAGATGGATGTATAGTTTGTGGTTTATTCATACAATGGTATATTGCATGATGGTTTAATGGAATGAACATAACATTAAGAGGAAAAAGCAAAGTTACAAAAGGATATATACAGTATACTATTTATATCTGGTTGTTGGCTATAACCTCATGTTATATATTCTTTGTTTCTGGGTACTTTAAATATTAGAAAAAATTTAAAGAAAATACCGTGCAATCATCTCTTCAGTTGACATTAAAAATGACTGAAAGTCATTCAATTAAATTCAATATTTCTGTTAGGAAGAGGTGAATACTTCCTAATATACAAAGCAAAAGTGTCCCCATCACCACAACTGATGTTGTTCTGTTAGTGCAAACTGATACAATTAGATAGAATAATGGAAATTGTATGAATATTGGATAAGATAATTCAGAATTTTTGTTATTTGTAGATTATAGAGTATTATATCTGGGAAATTCAAAACAAAATAATAAAAAAGCTCAGAAGTTTAGATATATGATTATTATATCAAAAGAAATCCACTTCCTATGTGCCTACTATATACCAGTTTTAAATCCTAGAATATGTTACGGAAAACAAAATCCCATTCATAATAATGGCAAAAATATAAAGCGCCTTGGAGTAAACCTAACAAGAAATATGTAAAACCTACCTTATGAAATAACGGCAATTTCTACTTCAAGGAAGTAATAAGATAAAGGGGCAAGTAGTATAAGGGTGTTAATTGTAGCTTTGTTTATGATAATAAAAAGCTAGAAACAATCTATTCAAAAATAAGAGATTGGCTACATAGTAAACTATAATATAATGCTATATATGTAATATTTACATGTAGCAGTATGCCATACAGCTATTAAAGAGTGAGAGCTCATGTGAAATGTTTTTCAATATATCTAAATTAAATAAAAGCAAGTAATCATGTATATACACTAACCTATTCATATAAACATGTATATATTTTAGGTACATTTTTAAATCAGGAAAAAACATACATTTCTGTTGAGATTATAATGCCTTTTACTGATATGGCATTAACTTTTATATCTAAAAATTTATATTGATTTCCATTTTCTTAATTTCTAGAAGATAGACTTAATTATTCCCATAATTTTTCAGTTTTTCACATTTTTAATGTTTCTAAAGTTGCAGTGTATCTTGCAATGGATAGTGTCTTATAAGCACTTGTGAAGTAGTTGACCTGGCCTGCACATGAGTGCACTTGATCATAGACTTTCACATTGTCAGTGCTTCAGCAGACTTCTGTGCATTGCTGGTACTATACCTGTTGAGTTTTTAAATGTTTTCCTGGTTGTTTTCTGAAACTTTCTGCTGATACCATCTGGTAAGATCAAGAAAGCACCAGCATATAAATTTATAGAATGACGTTAGTAGCTTTGAAGGAAAATCCCAGAAACGATACTGCAGTACTCTTAAGTGCTGTGGCATGAATGGTCTTGATGGCCCAGAAGGTGATATTGTGGGGAAATTTTATGTGATAAGAAGCATTGTGTCATAGTTTAATTCTTTTTTAGTGGTGTACTAAGTAATTATGTATCCTAAAATTATGAACAGATTCAATGAAATATATTAAAGTTGGATAAATATGAACTGAATATAAATTAGGTTATTGGATTTATTTAATACTTTTACTTTCTGAAAGCATATAAAGAACCAATATTAATATATAATAGAGGTTATTGCCGTATTTTAGAATGAGAGATGCACTTTATATTTTTCTCCTTTCTAATATTCAAAAATATTAAAAATATTGATGTTTGTTATACTAAAAGAGAGTTACTGTAATACCTAGAATTTTGATGGGAATCAAAGAATTAAACTGTGAGGTCCCAGGATGAACAGGAACTAAGGTAGTATTAGGAATTTCTCTGGTACTTCCCTTTCATTTTTATCTACTTCTCTTTGTATCCCGTTGGTTCATTTTTACCTGGTTGGCTTCTTCTGACCCTCAGCTACCTCATAATGACTACCACAGCCCCATCTCTGCGTGACCTTTCAGGACATCAACTATATCCCTTTAGTTTAAATTCCCGAGAGAGAAAGAAAACCTGATTAGTCCAGTTCCTCTTTGCAACCCACACTATACGAGTCACATCTTGTGATGAGCATGGATTGTAGCTGAACTGGGGCCCAGAGCTTGACTGTGCCTCTTGGCAAGAGGCATAGTCATATGTGCACTGCCCTCTCAGCAGGGACTGTGGGGAGGGCTTCCCCCTGAAGCGGGTGAAGGGAGGTGAGGCAATACATGTCTTATTTAACTTAACATCTCTATGTTAAATATCTTTTAAAGGTTACTGGATACCTCAAAATTACTTTTAGCCCAGAGATGAAACTATTTTGAAACTCCTTGGGGATTTCGTTGTTCATGGTTTTTCCCTTCTGGAAATTTGTACATTTTCCTCTGTATTTATGTTCCCCTATTCTGTTTGCTGTAGCTTATTTCCCTTAATCTTAAAATGTCACATTACCCTTTATTTGATTTAAATATGTCATAAGAAGTGAAGTGGCGTAACTTTAGCTATTAGAATTTTTCAGTTTTTATTCACCTGATTGGAAATCCTTTTTATTAACTGAACTTTGGTGTTTGGGGAGGATGGGTCAGTGATTGTGGGCTCTATCAAGTGAAAAATGGGTTATATTTTTAAAATACCAATTTATTATAAAATATATAAAGCAAGAACATTTTATAAGTAATGGGTTTATTTTTATTGTATTTAAGAAAGAAAGTCTTCTCTCTTAAAAAGAGAAAATGTTTTCCATCCAGGTGCTGTTACTTACCTATTCTCAGCTATGCTCAGGTATTTCAAGCCTGGGACTCATTTCGCCATGGAAGGAATTATTTAAGAAGCACCTGACTAGGTCAGAACTATGCCTGAAAATATTATAGGGTTAAGTACCAATTTCCAGTAATTTTAAGCCAATCTTCAGTTAGAAACAAACAACAAAAACACATAGTTTTAAAAGTAAATTTGTATTTGTTTTCCTAATCTTTTTTTTTTGTAATACTTATTTTATAGCTCGGTCATGAGCACCGACAGTAACTCACTGGCACGTGAATTTCTGACCGATGTCAACCGGCTTTGCAATGCAGTGGTCCAGAGGGTGGAGGCCAGGGAGGAAGAAGAGGAGGAGACGCACATGGCAACCCTTGGACAGTACCTTGTCCATGGTCGAGGATTTCTATTACTTACCAAGCTAAATTCTATAATTGATCAGGTAACATTTTTATATCAAATACTTACTTTCATCAATATATGATAGTTAACTGTAGCTACATGGTTTTGGATTACATAGTTTCTGAAGCCTCCTTGAGATAAAGTCCAGTCTTTCACATTATTCCACTAAAAAAAAAGTGGACCTATTTATAACCATATTGTTTATTTGAATACTTTCAAAACGTCTGAAATATCTTAGAATTATGAATTGCCTAAGAACTAAATGGTTTCATATATACTATGCTTTTTATCGTAATATCAGTGAGATAACTATGGTTCTTAGTAGAAATATAAGACATAATCTTATATCCCTGTATCTTATGTCAGAAACATGATGAATTTTCATTTTCAATAAATATCAAGTATGTTTTTGAAAAATTTTTGGAGGCTGCTAATTCTGGAGTGAAAGCAGAGACCTCTTATGTGAACTAATAATTACTGAGTCCTTTAGCTTGTATACATCTAATTTATCAAACGTTTTTGGCTTAAAGTATGGTATGACCATATGGTTTTGCTGTTTTCTTATTATAAAATTAACAGAGTTTTAAAACTAGTTGAGACTAGATGTTTTCATCTAACCTTCTTTTACAGATGAGAAAACAGATCCAGAAACATTAAGTACTCACATAAATTAATTTTAAGGCCAAATGTGATTTATATCTTTATTTCATTTTAGTAGAAAATGAATAATTATTTTGTGATCGTAAAACTCTACAATCTGCTTTCAGGGAACTAATTAATATAGTTAGTTGAAAAAATAATGAAGTGTTTGTAACACCAATATGATGGATTTTTTTTAACACTTTGAATGTTACCAGCTTTAGATGTAAAATTGGCCATCATTAAATAAAATTTCTTTGCTGTGAAAGCATTTTGCTAATAGATACATATATTGAGGAAATATGGAGACTAAAACAGTACTTCTGTTTTCACTGTAAGCTAAGGAACATAGCAAATACAAATTAGGAAGCATTTACTTGTCATGGAATTTTCAGGACATTTGTAGGTTTATGGTTTTTTTTGAGACACAGAGTCTCGCTCTGTCGCCCAGGCTGGAGTGCAGTGGTGCAATCTCGGCTGACTGCAACCTCCACCTCCGGGTTCAAGTGATTCTTGTGTCTCAGCCACCTAAGTAGCCGGGACTACAAGTGTGCATCACCACACCCAGTGAATTTTTGTATTTTCAGTAGAGATGGGGTTTCACCGTGTTGACCAGCTGATCTTAAACTCCTGACCTCAAGCAGTCTACCCCCGTTGGCCTCCCAAAGTGCTGGGATTACAGGTGTGAGCCACTGCACCCAGCCAAGTTTATGTATTTTTATTCTTTTTCATGAATGTGATTTGTTAAATGAGTGATTAAATATAATTTTTATATATTTGTATGACTTTTCTGTAAATAAAATTTAAAATCAGAAAAAATCATGTTAGACCATGTATAGTGATTTATTTTGAAATTTTGATTATTTAATATGTACACCATGCTCTGTTCTTCCCCACAATAAAAAAATTCAATGCTTTGTCTTCTTTAAAATATACCATATAAATAGCATCAGTAATAGTAAATATCGAGGAATGACTCTAATAAAATATGTACAGTACTTCTGCATGGAATTCTATAAAACATTATTGAGAGAAACTAAAGAAGACCCAAATAATTGGAGCATTATATAATGTTCATGTATTGAAAGAATCAATATTATAAACATACATGTTTTCTCCAAATCTATAGATCCCAATTTAATCCCAATCAAAATCTTAATAACAGCATTATTAAAAATAACATTATTGAGATATAATTCACATATCTTAAAATTCACCCATTTTATGTGTACAATTCAGTGGCTTTTAGTGTAGTCACAGGTAAGTGCATCTGTCACCACAGTTAATTTTGGAATATTTTCATCACCTCCAAAAGAAACTCCATACCCTTTAGCTATCGTTCCCCTATCCCTTCCATTCCCCTACCCCTAAGCAAACACTAATCTACTTTCTATCTCTCCAGATTTTATGCTTTCTCTTTTATGTCATGAAATGTCTTTTAATGTATTACTAAATGACTGAAATAATTCATGTCATAACAGCAGCAATAATTTTTCTTTTGGGAATATTTTGCTAGTCTGTAGTGTTAGCCATTCTAAAAGAATATGAAGTAGTATCTTATTGTAGTTTTAGTTCACATTCCTCTAACAACTAATGATGTTGAGCATTTTTTCATTTGCTTATTGGCCATTTGTATATCTTCTTTTATGAACATCTCTTTAAAAGTTTTGTACCATTTTTAAGGTCAGGTTATTTATTTATCATCAGTTGTAGCAGTTCTTTATGTATTCTGGAACCAAGTCTATTGGATTCCAAATACGGTATTTTCTTTGTATATATGGTAAATAGAATACTTTCTCTTTTAAGTCATAAGATATATTTTAAGATATTAAATGACTAAAATTATTTAGGTCATAAGTTAAATATTTTTTTCCTGTGGTGGTATTTTTTAATCCCTTCTTTCCACCTAGTCACTTTTTGGAATATCTGTAGCAATAATAGTAGGAACAGTAGATGTGCCTTTGGAGTGAAAATAAATAGCCATTTAAAACATAGGCCTTTATCAACATTTAGTTCTTTCAATTAGGAAATGGAGAATGAATGTTTGAGTTTTTAAGGGGAATTAATTGAATGATATTTTATCATTTAAGATGAAATCATAACACTAGACACATAGTTGTATGTTTTAGGAGGAAATTTAGTTTTTCTATCTGTGCTTCTCATGAATAGGAGCACTTCTTGAGTACTCTGGGGTGATTTAAGCCCTTTCCCACCAACTGTAGTCCGTTTGCTTTATTAATATTTATTTATTTATTTTTGAGACAGAGTCTCACTTTTTCACCCAGGCTGGACTGCAGCGGCACAATCATGGCTCACTGTAACCTCAGCCTCCAGGGTTCTAGAGGTTGTCATGTCTCAGCCACCTGAGTAGCTGGGATTACAGACGTGCGCCACCACGCCCGGGCTAATTTTTAAAAATATTTTTAGTAGAAACAGGGTTTTGCCATGTTGGCCAGGCTGGTCTCAAACTTCTGGCCCCAAGTGATCTGCCCGCCATGGCCTCCCAAAGTGCTAGGATTACAGGTGTGAGCCACTGCGCCCAGCTTATTAATAGACATTTAATATAAAGAAGTAAATAAACTTTTTATTGAGGTATAATTTATATACAGTAAGTGCACAGATAATGTGTATGCAGTTAGATGAATAGTGACAAATACACCTCACATCAGTAGTCCCAATCCTTTGGGAGGCCGAGGTAGATGGATTACTTGAGGCCTGGAGTTCGAGACCAGCCTGGGCAACATGGCAAAACCCCATCTCTACAAAAAAATACAAAAATTAGCCAGGTGTGGTGGTGTGTGCCTATAGTCCCAGCTACTCAGGAGGCTGAGGTGAGAGGATTGCTTGAGCCTGGGGAAATCAAGGCTGCAGTGAGCCATGGTCGTGCCACTGCACTCTGACCTGGGTGACAGAGTGAAACCCTGTCTTAAAAAACAAAACAAAATCCAAATATTTACACCTGTGTCATCACCACCCAGATCATTGTTTAGAATATTTCCGCCACCTTAGAAAGTTTTGTCATGCCTTTTTTTTCAGTCAGTCCCTCCCCTTCACTCACTGCAAGACCACCACTGTTGTGACTTTTAGCATCTAAATGTAGCTTTGGAATCATGTAGTATGTACTCTCATGTCTCTGAAATTCATCCATGTTGTTGCATAATTCAGTAGTTCACTACTTTTTAATTTCTGATTAGTATTTCATTGTATGGGTGTACTGTAATTTGTTTAACCATTCACCTGCTGTTTAATCTTTTGAGCTGTATGCATTTGGCTATTATGAATAAAGCTGCTTTGAACATTCCTATAAAAGTCCTTGGATATGTTTTCATTTGTCCTGGGTAAATATGTAGGCATACAATTTGTGGGCAAAGGGTAATGTTTGTTTAATTTTGTAAGAAACTGCCCAACTGTTTTGCAAAGTAGTTGTACTATGTTTCATTCTTACCAGCAGTGTATGAGAATTCCAGTTCTATATCCTCTCTAATATTTGATATTGCCAGTCTTTGTAGTGTTAGTCATTCTAAGTGAATATGAAGTAGTATCTCATTGTAGGTTTAATTTGCATTTTTCTGGCAATTAATGATGATGAGCACTTTTTCTATATTTATGGGTCTTTCTAGACTGCATTGTGTTCCACTGATCTTTCATGTAGTCTTTTATCAGTACCCTGTCTAGATTACTGTGGCTTTTATAAAAATAAGTTTGGAAATTAGATGTTGTAAGTTGTCTAATTTTGTTCTTGTTTTTAAAGAAAGTTTGGCCATTCTAGATCCTTCATATTTTCATATAAATTTTAGAATCAACTTGTTATTTCTACAAAATGCACACTAGGATTTCATTTAAGATGGCATTGAATCTATAAATCAGTTTACAGAGAATTGACACTTAACAATGTTGAGTTTTCCAATGCATGAACATGATATCAAACTCTATTTATGTCTTCTTTAGTTTGTTTCTCTGCACTATTGAGTGGTTTTCATTGTAGAGGTCCTGCCTGTTGTTTGGTTAAATTTATTCTAAATATTTTATTCCTTTTTGATGCTATTATAAATGGTATTTAAATTTTTTTATTTTCCTGTTGTTTGTTGCTCATAGAAATACAATTGCTTTTCGTATGTTGATCTTGTGTCCTGTGCCTTTGCTAAATTCATTCATTAGATCTTGAAACTTTTCTGTAGATTCCCTAGGATTTTGTATGTAAATAATGATGTCATCTGTGAATGACAATTTTACTTTTTTCCCAATTTGTATGCCTTTTATTTTGCTTTCTTGACTTTTGCACTGGCTTCTAGTACAAAAGCAGATGGAAGTAGTGAAAGTGGACCTCCTGGTTTAGTGTCTGACCTAAGGAGAAGCATGAGGTATTTCACCATTAAATGTGATATGAACTCTCAGTTTTTCTTAGACACCTTTTATCAGAATGAGGGAATTTTCTTCCATTCCCAATTTGTTGAGTTTTTATACTGAAGGGATGTTGAATTTTGTCAAATGCCTTTTCTGCATCTGTTGAAACTATCATATGATTTTTCTTTTTTATTCTGTAATGTAGGTAAGTTATCTTGATCGTTTTTGTTGTTGTTGTTGTTGTTGTTGTTTTCTTTTTTTTGAGACAGAGTCTCAACTCTGTCGCCCAGGCTGGAGTGCAGTGGCGCGACCTTGGCTCACTGCAACCTCTGCCATCCAGGTTTAAGTGATTCTTCTGCCTCAGCCTCCCAAGTAGCTGGGATTATAGGCACCTGCCACTGCACCTGGCTAATTTTTGTAGTTTTAGTAGAGACGGGGTTTCACCATCTTGGCCAGGCTGGTCTTGAACTCCTGACCTCGTGATCCACCCGCCTCAGCCACCCAAAGTGCTGGGATTACAGGCGTGAGCCACTGCGCTCAGCGGTAGTTTTTAAATGTTTGCATTCCTGGAATAAACTCCATTTTGTTCATAATTTATTATACACAGAAATTTTAATCTACTTATTCTCAGGGGAAAATACTCTTTTTAAATATCAAAAACATTCTTTTTAATGGTTAAAGATGACAAAGTTGAATATTTCTACCATACCACCATGCCCAGCCTATCTTTGCTTTTAATCTTGGCACCCGTATCAACTAGATGAGTGACTTTAGTCACTTAATTGCTCCAGAGCACAGTGTCCTCATCAGTAACATAAGGACATTCAGCTGGATGACTTAAGGGATCCTTCCAGTATAAAAATTGTCTCTGTGTAATATTTGAAAATAATGGCTTCTGGTTTCTTCTATGCCCTATTGCCAACATATATATCAAAATTGGACTAGTATACATGAACATGTGTTATAAATACTACTTTTTAAAATTTCAGTGATACATAATTTCCATACCTATTGCACTCTGTGGATGTTTTATAAAGTTGTTACTTATGTTGCTGAGTAAAATGTGAAGTTTTACCAAAGAGGGTTGTACATTTATGAACAAAATATAATTCAAACATTATAATAGGTTTTTAAAAATCTTTGGCTATTTTCTATGTAGGAGAGTACTTTATTCTTCCTACATTTTTGTAGTATTATCACTTCAATGTATAGTACTGCTGAAATGGGCTACCTGTAGTGATATATAAAATAAATAGAACAATATCAGACCTTTAGAAGTGTGGCTACAGTTTATTCACTGCTTTACTCAGCAGACCATTAAGTACCTACTATGGCCCAGCACCTCTGCTAGATGCGGAGATGAAAGGACAGCGACTGTCTTTACCAGGAGCTCTTCGCTTTTGAAGAGATAGGTAAATAAATGATGACAAAACAGTGTAAAAAGTATTTGGTGAATGTAGTGGAGAGGGGTCATCAGGAACTGCTTCTTAGATATTGACATCCCTAAGTAGGAATTGGCGATGTAAAGAGGCAGGAAACACCAGACCAGAAGAATTGCACATGAAAAAACACGGGGGCTAGAGAAAACACAGCACATTCAATGAACTACAAGTAGTTTAGTGAAGTTACAGCGAAGGCTGAACTTTGCTTTGCTTTTGGTAAAACGGGGATTGGCTAATGGGGAGACCTGAAGGGCAGAGGCCATGACATGGCAAGCCTTGTATACCATGTTAAGAAGTCTTAATTTTATTCTGAAAACATTGGGGAAATTTTAAAGCAAGGGAATAGGCAATGAGAATTATTCTTCAGATTTGACAAGTGAGTTAATGGTAAAATTGGCAAGAGTTGTTTCAATAGGAGAATAATGCAAACTTTTAAATATAGTAAAGGTAATAATAAATGAGCATTAATTTACTATATCTAGTTCTGCAGTTTCTGTTCACACACAAACCTAGTTCTATCTATGCATGATTGGTCTGACAGGAATGAGAGGATGTAGGGGATGTTGGCATTCCTACTTCTTGGAGTAGTGAGAGTGTGATCACAGTGGAAATCTTAACCACTCGACAGTGGTGCTATCCATGGAGAGTAGATAATTCATTGAATTATTCCCGTTTTAATTAATCCCCCAATTATCCACCCAGACTGATTGAAGCAATGAATATATCAGTTGATTGTGGTGTAACAGACCATGTTCCAAAACTTAGTGGCATAAAACAATGATTTCTTTGCTCATGATTCTGTTGAGTTGGCAGTTCTGGCATGGCTCAGCTGGAATAGCCACTTTGGCTCCTTGAGGTATCAGCTGGTCTTACATCTGAGTTTGCAGTCAGTTAGCAGATTAACTGAGGGCTATTGGGTGGGGCTGTTGGCCAGCCTCAGTTCTCATCCACATGGCTTCTCATCTTTCAGTAGGCTAGACTCAGCTTCTTTACATGATAGTGGAAACATTCCAAGAGGGTGCAGAAGCTGCAAGAAGTCACATAACAACATGTTGATCACATTGTATTGGTCAAAGCTAGTCACAAGTTGAGCTCAGATTTAAGGGATGGGGAAATAGACTCTATCACTTGATAGGAGGAACTGCAATTAATTTGTGGCTGTGTTTAAGCTACCATGGTCTCTTCTCTGACCAAAATTATTATTATTCCTCCTACACTCACTCCCCTCTACGCCTCTTGAAGTATATTATTCCATCATGACCTCAGGGTTGAATTGATGATCTCATGGTATGCATCAGTTCTGGATACACATGAGGCTTTCACATGTAGTAATTTTGTTGCAGCTCTTCTTGATTGAGAAACTTGTGAATTAGACAGGTTATCTGCTCCGCATATGCCCTATATACAATAATGAGATAGGAGTAAGTTAATTGTAGTAAGAAGAGGGACAGGAGAGGAACATAGCCATCTCTCGGCCATAGCAGTCCTGAAATCCAGTCAGCACATGTTGTCATGGCCCCTGTTCTAGGGTCTGGGAATATAATTATCTTCTGTGGGAGTGGTTCCCTAATCCATGTTTCTCCAGGACTCTTGGTTCCACCCTATGAGGTGTCTTCTCTTTTCTATAACAATTAGCCCATAATATACAGCTTTCTCACCCTGCTTCCTGCCTGTTGAAGAGTGGGCGCCCAGAGGCCTTTTTTCATTTTGAGCTGTCTCTATCCTATCCCTTTTAGGCCAAGCTGTTAGTATTTTTTAATAACCAACTTTCTTTAAAATGTTGTGAGTTTCCTGTGAATCTTAGTGGGGTTCACTCTATGCCTCAAAAGCCACATCTATAATAGCCTTTGAGACAGCCCTCTCTGCTTTGTGCAGAACAATCCCCTGAAGATTCCTAGTAGTACTTTTGTCTAGGTGATAGGGTGTACTAGGCACCACCTAAGTCTTTCTGGAGTCTTAACAAAGAGTATTATGGCCATTTAATAACCACTCTTTGCCTGCAGGGGAGGTGGGGCAGAATGGGAGCAGGCTGAGCAAACTACGGCCTACAGGCCAATCCTGTTGCCATTGACTTGTTTTGTACAATGTACAAGCTAAGAATAGTTTTTGCATTTTTAAAGGGTTGTTAAACAGAAGAATATGCAACAGAGACCATATATGACTCACCAAGTCTAAAATATTTACTATCTGGTTCTTTATATAAAAAGGTTGCAATTCCTGGTCTAATTCAAGAAAAACTGTTAGCATAATGTTTATCACTGGGAAAAACAGTACATATAACTATCCTGACTCATCAAAAACATTTGATAAAAGGTCTAAAAACAAATTAAGCTTCGAATAGAGGATTTCTTTCATATACAAAGATTAGAAGAACCAATTTTTTTTTTCTTTTTCGAGGCAGGGTCTCAGAAAAAAAGACTCTGTCATGCAGGCTGGAGGGCATTGGCACAATCTCAGCCCTCTGCAACCTCTGCCTCCCAGGCGCAAGCAATCCTCCCACCTCAGCCTCCCAAATAGCTGTGATTACAGGCATGTATCACTATGCCCAGCTAATTTTTGTATTTTTTGTACAGATGGGGTTTCACCGTGTTGCCCAGACTGTTTTCAAGCTCCTGAGCTCAAGCAACCACCCCCCTTGGCCTCCCAAAGTGCTGGGATTGTAGGCATGAGCCACCATGCTCAGATGCCAATAATATTTTTAATAAGAAGTTCTACGTGGGACCAATACAAGCATAATTCTTTATTACTATTTCCATTTGATATTATGTTTTAAATACATGTAGTGGTAAAGTGGAATATGAAAGCTAAATGTGGGAAAGATGGAGAAATAAAAATACTATTTTTTAAAGTAATGTGAACAGAAAAATCCAAGAACTCATCCAGAAAACTTTTCAACAAAGTTGTAGAGTATAAGGCAAAGATGTTTGTTTTTAGCTGCAGCTATACAGCTAGAAAAGAAAAGGAAAGAGAAAGATCCTATTTGTAGTACTAATGTAGAAACTTTCATATATGTGTATATACACATATATTAGAAATAATTATAAAATTCTGATAGAAGAAATAAAGGACTTAAATAGTCCATACACATATATTCCTGCTTATGCATGGAAAATCAAATTTAATTAGCATGTCAAGATACAGATTTAATGTAATATCAGAAATACCTATTAGGCTGGATGTGGTGGTTCACCCCTGTAATCCTAGCACTTTGAGAGGCCAAGGCAGACAGATTGCTTGAGCCCAGGAGTTCAAGGCCAGCCTAGGCAACATGGCAAAACCCCATCTCTACAAAAAAATACAAAAATCAACCAGGTGTGGTGGCACGTGCCTGTAGTCCCAGCTACTTGGGAGGCTGGGGCGGGAGGATCGCCTGAGCCTGGGCAGTGGAGGTTGCAGTGAGCCATGATTGTGCCACTGAAGTCCAGCTTGGGTAACAGAGTGAAACCCTGTCTCAAAAAAAAAAAAGAAAGAAAAGAAAAGAAATACCTATTAGCTTTCCATCACATTCTGGATAGAGTCCAAGTTCCTTATCATGTCATCCAGAAGTCCTTGAACCCTAGCCATCTGGTGCCCATCTGCCTGTGCAGCTTCCTAGACATCAGTCCGGTTTGTGATCTCAGCCCTTTCCCCTTTGACTCACTTGCCCATTTACTCCCATCCCACCACTTCTACTTCTGAATGGCTAGGTTAGGCAATTAGTTTAAAACCCAGTCTAAACAATAGTTATGAAAAGGGCCAGTGCCTGGCACCTTGTTGGTACTTGAAATATGTTTCTTGAATGGAAAAATACCTCAATGAAAGTTACTTTACTGTTTGTTGTTTCTATGGGGAATTTTATAAAGGTGTAACACAGTTATTTTCCCTGTAGAAAGGAAGACATAAAGATGTAAGTATTGGCTGGGCGCGGTGGCTCACGCCTGTAATCCCAGCACTTTGGGAGGCTGAGGCTGGCGGATCACGAGGTCAGGAGATCGAGACCATCCTGGCTAACACGGTGATACCCCATCTCTACTAAAATTACGAAAAGATTAGCTGGGCGTGGTGGCAGGCACTTGTAATCCCAGCTACTTGGGAGGCTGAGGCAGGAGAATGGTGTGAACCTGGGAGGCAGAGCTTGCAGTGAGCCGAGATCACGCCACTGCACTCCAGCTGGGTGGCAGAGTGAGACTCCATCTCAAAACAAAACAAAATAAAAGTATTAAATAAGAGTGGTATGTTATTGGCTGATTTCTCTTGATTGGGTGGTCTAGAAATAGCAGGGAATGGACCTGTTCATGGCATATATTGTCTAATATGGCACATTGGGAACTTCCCACTTGGATGTCATGAGGGAACACCTCATTCCCCTGGATTCTGTGACTATTGTGTGTACAAAGGACCTTGGGAGATAAAACTTGGGAGATAAGATCTTGGTTTGAAATAGAGGGCTGCAAGTTCTAATTTGCCAGGGTGCCCACAAATTAAGAGTAAAGGATTTTATCACTTCTAAAAGGACAGAATTACAAATGTGGTTTCTTTGGGACCAGAGAGGATAAATCTGGGAATAAATGATACCCAGATATTAATAAAAAAGTAATGCACCCAGAGGATTGAAGAGAACTTCCCCAATGATGAATTGTGTTTGAAATTGTGGTAATGAAATGTGAAGGAAAGACTCGTTTCCCCCAGTGCTATATTGGGCATCAGGGTGGTGTGGGATGCCCTCTTCAGGACTACAATTCCAGCAGAGGGGCCAAAACCCAAACATCTGCACTTGCCTCATTCTCATTCTTTCAAGGCCCATGGTTTGCAAGAACTAACTCACTTGGTGAAATGGGGGCAACAGGAATGTTCTTCCTTTCTCTTGAGGGGGAGAACAGCAATCTTGGGTTCGTGTGGGAGGAGAAGCTCCACAGAAGAGGTGTTGCTGGGTCTGAGCCTTGAAGGTAGGTGAGAAGCCCTCATCTGAGTGGGAAGGACCTTGTGTCATGCAGAGCTCTGCCAGGAGTCAGGAATGCCTGTTTACGCAGCAGTGGTGATTTGCCAGTATGTGGAGCAAGGGCTGAATTATCAGTACAGCGTGTCCGTAGCACTTTCTCAGACCCTTGAGGTTTCTGCAAGCTCCATTAGAATGCTATTAGTTCACCTGCCAAAGATAAAGACTCAGATTAGGAGGACTCTACCGGAAAGATATGCCAAAAATTGGTTTATCTTTTTTTTTTTTAAAAGACCATGTACATTTTTATTGGCATCTTTAAAAATGTTGAGGTATACTGAGTATGAGCTATACATGGAAATGTTATCTGTACATCTTTAGTTTTATTATTTGGAAGTAAAGCACATGGAAATGGGGCCCTTTTATATGTTTTATTTTGCATCTAAAATTTAAAGTCATTCATGCAGTGAATGGTTATTGAATACCCAACTCCATGTTAGGTGTTGGGTGGCAGAAAAGGGGGTGATTGCTGAGGACTAGGGCCTGAGCCCTGGAGTCCATGCCCTGAGAGAAGACTGAGAAGTATGTTTGGGAAAGTTTCCCATCATATTTAGAGATAAACCTGAACTCCTTTATGTGGTCCACAAGGGCCCATTAGATCTGACACTGCCTACCTGTCCAACCTACACCCTCCAGCCTTGTCTCCTAGCCCTCTCCCTCTTGGTATGTATGTTTCAGCCACTCTCCTTCTTTCTTTTTTAAAAAAAGTTGTAATATATAATTCCTAAGTTAAAATAATCATGAAAATAATCATGAAATGATTAAAGTTAATTATAATCATGAAGTGACAAAAATAATCATGAAATGACAAATTTCTGGAAAGATGTACATTGCAAAATTGACATGTGTGTATAAATCTCAAAAAATCATCACAGAAAATATTGTAAAACTTACGTATTTTCTCCTTCAAGGGCTTAAGGGACAATTCTATTGCCAGTGGATTCCTTCAAACTCTTAATGAATAGATCATTTTTGTGGTAACAAATTTTTTTTTTTACTTTTATTTTAGGTTCAGGGGTGCATTTGCAGGTTTGTTATATAGGTAGATTGCATGTCATGGGGTTTGGTGTACAGACTATTTCATCACCCAGGTAATAAGCATGGTACCCAATCGATAGTTTTTTGATCCTCACCCTTCTCCCACCCTCCATCCTGAAAGAGGCCCCAGTGGCTGTTCCCTTCTTTGTGTCCATGTGTACCCAAGGTTTAGCTCCCACTTATAAAGTGAGAACATGCAGTATTTGGTTTCTGTTTCTGTGTTAGTTCACCTAGGATAATGACCTCAGCGTCCATCCATATTGCTACAAAGGACATGATCTCATTCTTTTTTGTGGCTGCACAGTATTTCATGATGTATATGTGCCACATTTTCTTTATCCAGTCTACCGTTGATGGGTATTTAGGTTGATTTGTTATTGTGAATAGTGCTGTGGTGAACATAAGCACACGTTTGTCTTTATGGTAGAATGGTTTATATTCCTTTGGGTATATACCCAATAATGGGATTGCTGGGTTGAATGGTAGTTCTGTTTTAAGTTCTTTGGGAAATTGCCAATTTGCTTTCCACAATAGCTGAACTAACTTACGTTCCCACCAGCGTTGTATAAGTGTTCTCTTTTCTCCACAACCTCACCAGCATGTTTTTTTTTTCTTTTTTTCATTTTTAATAGCCATCCTGACTGGTGTGAGATGGTATCTCATTGTGGTTTTGATTTGCATTTCTCTAATTGGTAGTGATGTTGAGCATTTTTTCATATGCTTGTTGGCGCATGTATGTCTTCTTTTGAAAAGTGTCTGTTCGTGTCCTTTGGCCGCTTTTTAATAGGGCCATTTGTCTTTTACTTATAAAGTTGTTGAAGTTCATTATAGATTCTGTATATTAGACCTTTGTCAGATACATGGTTTGCAAATATTTTCTCCCACTCTGTAGGCTGTTTACTCTGTTGATAGTTTCCTTTGCTGTGCAGAAGCTCTTTAATTAAGTCCCATTTGTCAATTTTTGTTTTCATTGTGATTGCTTTTGGCATCCTTCGTCATGAAACCTTTGCCAGGGCCTATGTCCAGGATGGTATTTCTTAGGTTATATTCCAGATGGTTATAGGTGTGCAGCTTTATTTCTGGGCTCTTTATTCTGTTCCATCGGTCTCTGTGTCTGTTTTTGTACCAGTACTGTGCTGCTTTAGTTACTGTAGCCTCATAGAGTAGTTTGAAGTCAAGTAATGTGATGCCTCTAGCTTTGTTCTTTTTGTATAGGATTGCTTTGGCTATTCAGAGTCTTTTCTTATTCCATATGAATTTTAGAATAGCTTTTTCTAATTCTTTGAAGAATGTCATTGGTAGTTTGGAATAGCATTGAATCTGTAAATTGCTTTGGGCAGTATGGCTTTTTTTTTTTATTTTTATTTTTTATTTATTTATTTTTTTTTTTGACGGAGTCTTTCTCTGTCACCCAGGCTGGAGTGCAGTGGTGTGATCTCGGCTCACTGCAACCTCCGCCTCTCAGGTTCAAGTGATTCTCCTGCCTCAGCTCCCGAGTAGCTGGGACTACAGGCACATGGCATCATGCCTGGCTAATTTTTTGTATTTTTAGTAGAGTTGGAGTTTCACCATGTTTGCCAGGATGGTCTCAATCGCCTGACCTTGTGATCTACCTGCCTTGGCCTCCCAAAGTGCTGGGATTACAGGTGTGAGCCACCATGCCCAGCCTTTTTTTTTTTTTTTTTTTTTTTTTTTTTTTGAGATGGAGTCTCACTTTGTTGCCAGGCTGGAGTGCAGTGGTGTGATCTTGGCTCACTGCATCTTCCTCCTCCCGGGTTCAAGTGATTCTTCTGCCTCAACCTCCTGAGTGGCTAGGAATACAGGCATGCACCCCCACGCCCAGCTAATTTTTGTATTTTTAGTAGAGATGGGGTTTCACCAGTTGGCCGGGATGGTCTCGATCTCTTGACCTTGTGATCTGCCCGCCTCAGCCTCCCAAAGTGTTGGGATTACAGGCGTGAGCCACCGCGCCCGGCCCCATTTTAACAATATTGTTTCTTTCTATTCATGAATGTGGAATGTTTCTCCATTTGTTTGTGTCATCTCTGATTTCTTTCAGCAATGTTTTGTAATTCTCATTGTAGAAATCTTTCACCTTCCTGGTTAGCTGTATTCCTAGGTATTTTATTCTTTCTGTGACTGTTGTGAATGAGATTGTGTTCTTGGTTTGCCCCTCAGCTTGGGTGTTGTCGATGTATGGAAATGCCACTGATTTCTGTACATTGATTTTGTAGCCTAAGACTTTGCTGAAGTTATTTATCAGATCTAGGAGCTTTTGAGCTGTCTTGCTTTCTATGAAAAAGCCAAACCCATTCCCAGCACTTCATATACTTGCTAGGAGCCCTTTTCCTCCAAATCTTTTCATGGATTCCTTCTTCTCATCAATTAAGTATCTGCTCAAATAGCCCATCCTAAATAGCCTGTCTAAAATGTTACCCTTTTTGTCACTCTGTAATCTCTTTCCTAGATAATTTCCTTCATAGCACAACATTATATCTGAAATTTTCTTATTTTTACCCATTATTTTCTGTCTCCTGTGCTAGGAAGTAGGCTTCATGAGGATATGGATATTGTGTTCACTACAGCATTTGAAGTACCTGACACAGTGCCTGGCCTGTTTAGTAGGGGGATCAAGAAATATTTGTTTAACGGATAAAAGAGGAAAATGGGCATTCAGACAGTAACACTTCAGCAGGGTGTTTGCTGGAATGGAAGCAAATCAGGAACATGAAAGCTAAGTTTACTAAGGGAAGCAGGTAGGGTGTTAGAGAAGTCTCCCCACAGAGGAACTAAAAACCTAGAGAATGAGTTGCAGTTTGGCAGATGGGAGGATGGGGATGGAGAATTGCAGAAACAGTGTATGTGAGGAAGACCTATTGGGAGCACAGAGACCAGTAGTTTTCAGGGGAAACCTTTACCAGCTAGATGTATGCGGAGGGCTCATGTGTGGCAGAGGGAGCTGACACTGGACAGCTCAACAGGAATCATTGCCGTGAAGGGTTTTCTATACCTAAAAAGGGGTTTAGATTTTACTAAACCCCTTTTTTGAAGAATTCTGAGCCTTTTCACAACCAGGACACCAGAAGGAGTAGTCTGAATGTCCTGTCTTTACTTTCTCACTTCCTTTGACTCCTCAGCCTATTGTAATTGGAGTTGCAGTCAAATCACTCCATTAAAGCCGTTAGTTAAGGGGCATTCCAGTTACTAAATGCTTTTCGGCCATCATGTCACACAGTGAAAGGGCAACAGCTTTGGCCCTGCTGACTCCTTTCTTTCCTGAACTGGTCTCTTCCTTGGTTTCTCTGGTTGTACTTCTCTTTCTTGGGGCTATTTTTCAATAGAAGCCTTTTCAGCCTTTTCTTTAGCATTGCCCATCTTTAAGTCTTTAAAGTCCGGAGTTTCATTCTTGATGGTCTTCTATTGTCATTCTATATTCTCACCCTGGGAAAATTCACATATCTTCTTGCCTTCCACCCCAATTACTCCTAAATCTTGTTATTTACTTCATATTTTTTTAAGTTCCAGATCTATATATTTACTGTCTACTAAAAAGCTGTCTTCATTAGGATAGTGCATAGACGTCTCAGACTCCATATGTCTGAAAAGTGAATCCATCATCTTTATCCCAACCTAATACCACTTGTAAATTTCCTGTCTTGGTGAATACATTATCAGCTACCTAGATGCTGAAACCAGTAACCTGTGGGTCCTTTTAGATCTTTTCTTTTCTCCCTTATGTGCCATAGATAATCAACTGCAAGTTATTTTAGTTCTACCTTACAGTTTCTCAAATATGTCTCCTTTTCCCTTCTGTTGTTGGAGTACTTCAGAAAGTCATCATCTCTCTCATCTGGATTATTGTTACCCTGCCTCTAACACTGCTTCCCCTTCCAACTAATTCTGTTCAGCAAATCTGATTGTGTCATCATGCGACCCCCTCTCCCACTGATTGGTGTAAGGCGAGAACTCAAACTTGATTTGTCGTTAAATCCTTTACTACCCATGTCCCAGGTGTCCCAGGTCTAGCTCTCTAGCTCCCATTCTCCTTCCATACTTCTGATAATGACTGCTCCTTTTTCTGAACTCCTAAACTGAATGCTTCTACCACCCCTGGATACTTACTCATACTACATGCCTTCTGCTGTTCTTTAACTGTTTATGTGTATGTATTTTATGGACCAAATGAGGGGACCTTCTCCAGGGCTTGGACCATATCCTCCAGAAAGGGTAAGACAGTATTTTTGTGGACATAGTATGCAGTCAATAAATATTTATTGGATTACATTCACTAATAAGTCTTTCTCTCCTTATATATTATTTATTAATAATGTCAATTTCTCTTTTAAAATCGTCTCTGAGTTTTTCATTTAACTGCATGAAGGCTTCACATTTTTCTAGTAACTTTGTAGCATTGCTTTGCTAATTAATAGGGCTTAACTTTTCATTTTCACCTAGCAAATCTGTTTCTTCATAGGTAAGGAATTCTTGCAATGTGCATGGTGGTAATAACAGCTATTTTTGGAAATATCAGCAGGAGTGTGCTAAATACTGTCAAATACTCTTAGATTCTTCTATCATTAGAAAGGCTTATAAACTTAAAAGTATCACAGCTTTAACTGGATTGAAGATAGGTTAATTTGATTCTTAGCTTTTCAAATGCAGACTTTCAAGAAAAAGGATTTTTTGGTTCAGTTTAAGACAAGACATTAGGAACTGATGTGTCTTATCGCCTTAGAACATGAAGGATTCTTTTGTTACTGACATAGGCATTGACATGTAGAGAAGAACTCCTGACTCTTCTTCTGTCTCTCCTTCCACTGGTATGGAAGATACCTGTCCAAGAAGAAAAGGCAACAGGTATGCTTTTTCCCTTTATCATATCACTTGTGTTATCAAAATTTCATAGAAAAGTTACTTCTGCCTGAATGTTTGATTCTGATTCAGATTCAGAACACTATATGTTATTGTGATTTATTCATACTAAATATGAAAAATTATTTAGGCAAACACATTTTTCCTTCAATAATACAAAAACCATGGTGCTTCTTGGGGGAAGTACTTGAATGTACTGATGATTAGAAAATGTATAAAGAAGCAGAAACACTTATCAGAAGGAGTGAGTCTAGGTGTGCAGCATAACATCAGAAAAATGGATAGTGAAAAGTTGGAAGTGAAAAGTCTGAATAAAGAAATTAAAGTTTCTTTGCTTATTTTAAAGACTGCTTTCTATTACCAGTATTCTATAAGTGACTTTTGCAGTATTTGTTTTAGCTTAGTTTTTCTAGTGTTGCCTTTAAAGTATAATTTTTTTTTTTTTTTTTTAGGCAGAGTCTCACTCTGTCACCCAGGTTGGAGGGCAGTGGAGTGATCTCGGCTCACTGCAACCTCAGCCTCCCGAGTTCAAGCAATTCTTGTGCCTCAGCCTCCTGAGTAGATGGGATTACAGTCGTGCACCACCATGCCAGACTAATTTTTGCATTTTAGTACATACAGATGGGATTTCACCATGTTGGCCAGGCTGGTCTCAAACTCCTGACCTCAAGTAATCTGCCCACCACAGCCTCCCAAAGTGCTGGGATTACAGGCATGAGCCACCGTGCCCAGCCTAAAGGATATATTTAATATTTTGTTTCAAGCTTGGGTAGAATTATTCTATGTAAGGTCGATAGATATTTTTAATTTATGATTTTGAAGAAATCATATGTCTATAAAGTACATGAAACTTTAAATGTTTCATTGGAGAGATTAATAGTTTTCCTCTTGACCCTTTCTTGTGACATGTTTGTGAGATGTTTGAAGATCTCTCAGGTTAAAAAAAAAATTATTGTATTTTAATTCCTGTATTTTTAGTGAATTTCATGGAGCTTTTTTTAAGGAGGTATCTAAGGTTTTGTAATACTGTTTTTCTGCTTATTTATTGATTCACTAACTCTCTGCTTTTATTTTTTTCTGAGTTTGCAGAATTCACAAATTGTTAATCACTTAAGAAATCTGATTAATGCTCTTTGGGGGAAGTTGTCTTCATTGTCTGCATCTTTTGCTTGGGTGGAATTTGTCAGACTCCTTTTAATTTCTCCTCTTCCCATCTGGTTTGCTTTCCCTGTCTTAGTAAAGCACAGATTTTTTTATTTACAGATTTTAATTTATTCACTCTAAATTACAGCTACTTTTTTATATAGCTCTTACTACATACTGCAAAGAGAAAGACTGATCTAATTATCTTTTTAGTTAAAGGGAGAATTCATTCATTTCCCCTGTGAAGTATTTACTGAGTGTTGACCATACGCCAGGCCCTATCTAGGCACCGGGGATGAAATAATAGTGTCTATACCTGGTGCCTAGTTCAGTGCTGAAACATTTGAGAAATAATTTGAATAAAGAATTATTTAAACCTCAGTTTTAGAGAACATTTGGCATATAGTGTATGATTTTGAAATAATTTTAGAAAAATCTTAAAGTAGTTAAATTATATCAGGTCTATGAATACTATTTTTGAGAATATAATACATCCTTACATTTTAATTAGTGGTACTATGGGAAGAGATTTGTAAATGGTGTGAACAACAGCACTAAATACCAGATAATCTACAGCATCTCTTATGTTGAAGTTAGAATATAATATATAGTTTTAAATCAGATTTACTTTCTTAACTCTGTTCTCTTTTGTTTGTTGTTGTTGTTTTGAGACAGAGTCTCACTCTGTCACCTGGGCTGGAGTGCAGTGGCACGATCTCATCTCACTGCAACCTCTGCCTCCCAGGTTCAAGAGATTCTCCTGCCTCAGGCTCCCAAGTAGCTGGGATTACAGGCGTGCACCACCACATCTGACTAATTTTTGTATTTTTACTAGAGACAGGGTTTCACCGTGTTGGCCAGGCTGGTCTCAAACTCTTGACCTCAAGTGATCCCACCCGCCTCAGTCTCCCAAAGTGCTGGGATTACAGGCATAAGCCACCTCACCCAGCCTCTCTTTTGTTGTTTTAAAAATCAGTTTGTATCCTTTGAAGTAATGTCAGCTAGTGTTTAGAGTAAGTATAGGTGTGCCTCTGTTTTGTTGTTTTAAAAATCAATTTGTATCCTTTGAACTAATGTCAGCTAGTGTTTAGAGTAAGGATAAGTGTGAGAGGAGGTAACCCAGAGATATGACATAAATGAAGGAAATCAGCCCTGCAGCAAAATACATTGAGGATAAACTCCTTTAGTGGGTTTAAGATAAATAAGAGGGCTGTCACCTTAAAATTGAGTTTTAAAACATATTGAGGTATTCTAAGCCTTCTTTTTTCATTCCATTAGATTTTAACCTACCGCTCTCAGCAGATATAATCCTGACCAAAGAAAAGAACTCAAGTTCACAAAGATCCACTCAGGAAAAATTACATTTAGAAGGAAGTGCCCTGTCTAGTCAGGTTTCTGCAAAAGTAAATGTTTTTCGAAAAAGCAGACGACAGCGTAAAATTACCCATCGCTATTCTGTAAGAGATGCAAGAAAGACACAGCTCTCCACCTCAGATTCAGAAGCCAATTCAGATGAAAAAGGCATAGCAATGAATAAGCATAGAAGGCCCCATCTGCTGCATCATTTTTTAACATCGTTTCCTAAACAAGACCACCCCAAAGCTAAACTTGACCGCTTAGCAACCAAAGAACAGACTCCTCCAGATGCTATGGCTTTGGAAAATTCCAGAGAGATTATTCCAAGACAGGGGTCAAACACTGACATTTTAAGTGAGCCAGCTGCCTTGTCTGTTATCAGTAACATGAACAATTCTCCATTTGACTTATGTCATGTTTTGTTATCTTTATTAGAAAAAGTTTGTAAGTTTGACGTTACCTTGAATCATAATTCTCCTTTAGCAGCCAGTGTAGTGCCCACACTAACTGAATTCCTAGCAGGCTTTGGGGACTGCTGCAGTCTGAGCGACAACTTGGAGAGTCGAGTAGTTTCTGCAGGTTGGACCGAAGAACCGGTGGCTTTGATTCAAAGGATGCTCTTTCGAACAGTGTTGCATCTTCTGTCAGTAGATGTTAGTACTGCAGAGATGATGCCAGAAAATCTTAGGAAAAATTTAACTGAATTGCTTAGAGCAGCTTTAAAAATTAGAATATGCCTAGAAAAGCAGCCTGACCCTTTTGCACCAAGACAAAAGAAAACACTGCAGGAGGTTCAGGAAGATTTTGTGTTTTCAAAGTATCGTCATAGAGCCCTTCTTTTACCTGAGCTTTTGGAAGGAGTTCTTCAGATTCTGATCTGTTGTCTTCAAAGTGCAGCTTCAAATCCCTTCTACTTCAGTCAAGCCATGGATTTGGTTCAAGAATTCATTCAGCATCATGGATTTAATTTATTTGAAACAGCAGTTCTTCAAATGGAATGGCTGGTTTTAAGAGATGGAGTTCCTCCCGAGGCCTCAGAGCATTTGAAAGCCCTAATAAATAGTGTGATGAAAATAATGAGCACTGTCAAAAAAGTGAAATCAGAGCAACTTCATCATTCGATGTGTACAAGAAAAAGGCACAGACGATGTGAATATTCTCATTTTATGCATCATCACCGAGATCTCTCAGGTCTTCTGGTTTCGGCTTTTAAAAACCAGGTTTCCAAAAACCCATTTGAAGAGACTGCAGATGGAGATGTTTATTATCCTGAGCGGTGCTGTTGCATTGCAGTGTGTGCCCATCAGTGCTTGCGCTTACTACAGCAGGCTTCCTTGAGCAGCACTTGTGTCCAGATCCTATCGGGTGTTCATAACATTGGAATATGCTGTTGTATGGATCCCAAATCTGTAATCATTCCTTTGCTCCATGCTTTTAAATTGCCAGCACTGAAAAATTTTCAGCAGCATATATTGAATATCCTTAACAAACTTATTTTGGATCAGTTAGGAGGAGCAGAGATATCACCAAAAATTAAAAAAGCAGCTTGTAATATTTGTACTGTTGACTCTGACCAACTAGCCCAATTAGAAGAGACACTGCAGGGAAACTTATGTGATGCTGAACTCTCCTCAAGTTTATCCAGTCCTTCTTACAGATTTCAAGGGATCCTGCCCAGCAGTGGATCTGAAGATTTGTTGTGGAAATGGGATGCTTTAAAGGCTTATCAGAACTTTGTTTTTGAAGAAGACAGATTACATAGTATACAGATTGCAAATCACATTTGCAATTTAATCCAGAAAGGCAATATAGTTGTTCAGTGGAAATTATATAATTACATATTTAATCCTGTGCTCCAAAGAGGAGTTGAATTAGCACATCATTGTCAACACCTAAGCGTTACTTCAGCTCAAAGTCATGTATGTAGCCATCATAACCAGTGCTTGCCTCAGGACGTGCTTCAGATTTATGTAAAAACTCTGCCTATCCTGCTTAAATCCAGGTTTGTATGTGTGTGGGTGGCGGCGGGGGCGGGGGTTGTTGAGCATGTCTAGATCTTTTTCATTGGATGCTTTCAAGTGAGTGATAAATTGTATGCATTTAAACTTCTAACACTGATATCTCCAGGGCTTTGGCAGCAGTGTGATCGTATTTACTCTTTATTCTTTCCTAGGATTTAATTTCAATTTGTCAACAAAAAATGTTCTCCTTCCATGTCAGATTTGTTTTAACCATTTGTTTATGTATGTATGCATTTTTTACTGAGCTGTTTATAGAGAAGAGGATACAGCCATTGATTTTAATTTCTCAACAAAAAGAAAAGTTTTAGATATACAACTGAGAAAAACGTAGATGAAACACAGATATCCAAGAGCAGGGCAAGTTTAATTACTTTATATTTCCTTGATAGAATATTATTGGCCATTGAAAATGTTTACAAAGATCATATTGGAATATGAGAAAATGATTATAATATCTTATGGGTAAAATATAAACAATTAAAATAGTGTTCACTTATTTACAACTATGTAAAATATGTATTACATGTAAAATAATACATAAAATGATTATTGAGGCAGAGGCACTAATGGGATTATTAATTTTAAAATATTATATTTACATTTATAACCTCTGCAATATATGTAGAAAAATTAGAAAATATAGATAAACAAAAATAAGAATATTAAAATTACTTTTAATCCTATCAGTGAGTTTTCCAGACTTTGTGATTGCCAAATCTGGTGCATTTAAAAATAATTTTATAAACGAATGGGTAGACTGGTCTTTCAAATTAATGCATATACCATTTTAGAAACTTATACAAAAATAACCTATCAATATCTTCGTGTGTGGCATTTTTTGGTCAATCTTAGCACAACTACTTTAAAACTATTATTGATGTTAAATCAATGCCTTACAGTCATTTAAAAATTTTTCTGACATTTTGGCATTGTTTAACTAGAACTGACTGATTTGAAAGTTTTGTAACTCTTTGGCGTATTCGTGGACAACCTGAATCTTTGTGATGAAAGGGCTGAGAATCACCTAGCTGGCTTATATTAAAGTTATTACTAGGATTCCAATGATCTAGACACAAGTCTCACCTGAGACAGAGCTGAAAAACTTTTATAATATTTGTACCATTGACTGTTCAATTAGCCCAATTAGAAGGGAAATTCATGTGATGCTGAGCCTTCCGTAGATTTTCAGCTCTAGTGTGATTCTTTCCCTTCATAAGGTATAGATTTAAAGTAAACAAAAATTCCCAAGTGAACCATCAGGCGGACAAACTAATGAACAAACACGTGCTTGCCTGCCCTCAGGGTGTCCACCTCAGGTGTGGTGGTGGCTGTGGTGTTCAGAATTTATATAGAATTTGCCATTTGGAGAAAAATATTCTTCCCTGAATTGCTTCATTTAATGTGGGACAGGCAATCTTTTCTTTTTAGATACTGCTGGAGCCATATATACAAATGTTTGAAGAAGGATATCAGAGTAATTAGAAAGTAACTTGAGGTCCTAATTATATCTAACTAAGAACTTTAGCCTGATAATTGATGAATAAAATTAGGTAGTGGTTAGTATATCCCACATGCAATAGCGATATATTAAATATTATATGTACCTATTTATAAATGATGTTTCTTTATTTAAACCTTTTTACATGCTTTTTTTCTTTCACAGGGTAATAAGAGATTTGTTTTTGAGTTGTAATGGAGTAAGTCAAATAATCGAATTAAATTGCTTAAATGGTATTCGAAGTCATTCTCTAAAAGCATTTGAAACTCTGATAATCAGCCTAGGGGAGCAACAGAAAGATGCCTCAGTTCCAGATATTGATGGGATAGACATTGAACAGAAGGAGTTGTCCTCTGTACATGTGGGTACTTCTTTTCATCATCAGCAAGCTTATTCAGATTCTCCTCAGAGTCTCAGCAAATTTTATGCTGGCCTCAAAGAAGCTTATCCAAAGAGACGGAAGACTGTTAACCAAGATGTTCATATCAACACAATAAACCTATTCCTCTGTGTGGCTTTTTTATGCGTAAGTAAAGAAGCAGAGTCTGACAGGGAGTCGGCCAATGACTCAGAAGATACTTCTGGCTATGACAGCACAGCCAGCGAGCCTTTAAGTCATATGCTGCCATGTATATCTCTCGAGAGCCTTGTCTTGCCTTCTCCTGAACATATGCACCAAGCAGCAGACATTTGGTCTATGTGTCGTTGGATCTACATGTTGAGTTCAGTGTTCCAGAAACAGTTTTATAGGCTTGGTGGTTTCCGAGTATGCCATAAGTTAATATTTATGATAATACAGAAACTGTTCAGAAGTCACAAAGAGGAGCAAGGAAAAAAGGAGGGAGATACAAGTGTAAATGAAAACCAGGATTTAAACAGAATTTCTCAACCTAAGAGAACTATGAAGGAAGATTTATTATCTTTGGCTATAAAAAGTGACCCCATACCATCAGAACTAGGTAGTCTAAAAAAGAGTGCTGACAGTTTAGGTAAATTAGAGTTACAGCATATTTCTTCCATAAATGTGGAAGAAGTTTCAGCTACTGAAGCCGCTCCCGAGGAAGCAAAGCTATTTACAAGTCAAGAAAGTGAGACCTCACTTCAAAGTATACGACTTTTGGAAGCCCTTCTGGCCATTTGTCTTCATGGTGCCAGAACTAGTCAACAGAAGATGGAATTGGAGTTACCTAATCAGGTAATACCTTGTCCTTAGTCCAACTCTTATGTAATATATATACATATATATACACACACACATATATATATAAAAAATGTAATATGTATTACATAATATATGTAATATATATATTATTGTGTTATATATAACATATAATATATTACTTTTATATATGTGTATATATTATGTTTTATGTATATATACACATACACACACACACATTTTATAAGTGTCAGATGAATAATAATGGATATTGTGTTTCAAAGTTGAAAGATCTAAATTTTTGTGTGATACTGTTGGCTGCCCTGCCCAGAACTCCTTTACCAAACTGATCACCCATTCACCATCTGCGCATCAGCACCCATCTTCCAGGAATCACCCTTGACCGATGGAAGATGCCTGGGAAGGATGCTCATAGCTAATGCTGATAGATGTGGCTCTAAGAAGTGGGGACAATCATTGTGGGGCACTTCAGGCTCCAGAGCTTCCCAGGAAATGAGGCTGGGACGAGACTTCTCCTAAAACCACATCTTTGTCCAGATTCTTCTCCTAACCTCTTCTGCTTTACCTCACATTCTTACAAGTTTTCTCCTGAGATCATTTCTCAACTAAAAAGGAATCTAGGGACCTGGAATATGGCAGACCTCTTCTGTCCTCACTAACTTACACCTAACTGTTCAGTCAGCCAACAGGCTCTTCCTACTTCAGTTCCAGCCTCCATGTTGCCTTATCTCTAAAAAATCCTGATGCTTCCACACTGAATTTCCACAATTGAAATTCACAAGCTTTAACACAGCACACAAAACTCTTCAGTCTTGCTTTGACTTCTTCGCTTAGCTTCATTTCTTGCCATTCTTTACCATGCTGCAATGAAAACCAAATAAGATGAACTAAGTATTTTATCAATAAAAATGTTATTAATTTTAACAGGATGTTTGTATAGAGCTAGATATTTATATAGTCATTTTGCTTTCATATCAACTGCAAATAAATGGATTAGCTTTATACTTAAGTAAATATTTATTATTTATTTTTTCATCATTTAGTTTTTTAAAATGGTTATTAATATTCTTAGTCTCTTTTATTTTACCTTAGAACTTGTCTGTGGAAAGTATATTATTTGAAATGAGGGACCATCTTTCCCAGTCAAAGGTGATTGAAACACAACTAGCAAAGCCTTTATTTGATGCCCTGCTTCGAGTTGCCCTCGGGAATTATTCAGCAGATTTTGAACATAATGATGCTATGACTGAGAAGGTATGAATAACAACATATAGTTGTGTTCTTTGGGTATGACCAGCAGAGGCGGAAGTGTGGGATGACACTAGGACGCTGATGAATGTCATTAGAGCATATGGACTAGGACTTGGTCAGATGAGTTCAGTGGATCTTATCTCCTCGTGATGGATATGTGATGGGATGGACAGTATTTTGTCATTGCCCTGTCTTATACATAACAGGAGAGTGATATGATAAGCTTTTCCTTATCTAATCTGGAAATTTACTGAGAATTACTTCGAGTTAAGACAGAAATATATTACTTGATTTGGTATATTTTACATATACCTGATAGTGTATTAAATGCTAATTCAGGGATGGTGGTGATTTACCTATCCTATCTGGTTCTTTGGTGGTATAGCTAATATTTCCAGAACTCTCTACTCACATTAATTTTAAATCATTCAACATAAAAATGACTAGTGCCTACATAGAAAATAGCAGTCACAGTGTTTTAGTTGTTTAACATTTTTTCCTAAAACAACTGTTGTAATTTTCTTTCCTAAAATTATGTGGTACATAATTGGCTTGTTTCCCTCTCATTTTATGTTTATTTTACCTTTAGTTGCCATCTGTCCTTTATTTTTTATATAACTTCTCCTTTTAGCTCCTTGATCTAGCCATATATATAATGTTTTATAAGGTTTTGAAATAACATTTTATGTTACTATTTGCCATAACTTAAAAACATGCTGAAATAGCTATGAATACGTTCATCATATTACTGAATTAATTGACTAACTGTAAAATGTTAAAATACCTACTTTATTCTACCTTTTATTGTTGTTACAATGATGAAGTATTCTGAGCTTCTTTAAGTGAAAATGTTTTCTAAAATGAAGGTATTAGTGGAATTTTTATAAGAAAAGGAAAATTTCTTTCTTACACAGGAAGTTAGTACTGGAACTCTTGACTTCTGAGATGCTTGTTATGTAGACAGTTGCATTCTGAGATCTTTTAATTAATCCCTTTGAAAAAAATGTCTTGTCTGCTCTAGTTACCTAACTTATAAGGCATTTATAAAAATCCTTATGAAAAAATCTTTTTTATTAACAAATGTGCACAAATAATATATATTAGTATTAAATTGTATGAAGTAAAATTTTACCACATTGTGGTTTTTTGTCATTTCCAATTGTATAACTAGAATGAAATTTCTTACATAGATTTATTTATTAAACTGAAATGACCTATAACTTACTTTGTTAGAAACCCCCTTTTTGAGGTATTAAGTTGTCTGAAAGGATCTGGGAAATTTTGCTGAGTGAATTTCATAATTTATAATGATTCATATTGTTTACTAAGTTTTTTTCTTCAAGAAAATATTGAAACTGTCCTTAACATGACTTTTGAGTAATAAGTATTCTATTACTAAAAACAAGCAAATGTTACAACCTTTGAATTACACTGATTTATAGAGTCATCAATCTGCAGAAGAATTGTCATCCCAGCCTGGTGATTTTTCAGAAGAAGCTGAGGATTCTCAGTGTTGTAGTTTTAAACTTTTAGTTGAAGAAGAAGGTTACGAAGCAGATAGTGAAAGCAATCCTGAAGATGGCGAAACCCAGGATGATGGTAAAATATCATTGAAGTGCTTGTAATTAGATCTGCAAGCCAGATCATTAAATAGCAAAATGGTTCATAATAATACCACTTTAGAATTTTGTATTGCCTTACAGTTTAACAAGTGTGTTGCATAATCTTTTTATTGATCTTCCCAACAGTCTGGCATTCATATATGCAACAATGTGATATAGTTTGTTATCACAAACATCATCTGAGTGGTTAAGAACATGGAGTGAAGGACAGAGTCCCCAATTTCATGTATATTCTAGTGTGAAAGACAATAAATACCAGAAATAGATAATAAAATAGAAATCGATAAACTGGGTGATGTCGTATTAGTAACTGGGTGGTGAGGGAAGTCCTTTCTGAAGAGGCAATGTTTACATTGAGGACTAAATGAAAACAAGCTAGGCAGACAAACACTGGCAGGAAGAGCATTCAGGCAGTTTGTTATAAAGAATACATAATACAGGAATGCAGACACCTGTCTGTGACAGCCAAGCATAGATTTCTTCTTAGTTTACCACAGCTCAATTTGTCTTTAGGATGGAACTATATTGCCTATGATCCTTTCCTCCCTTGTCTTTGGACTTAAAATGAGTAGAATGGAAAAGATGGGTTGATTAGAGCCAAGAGACTTCTGGCAAGACTCCATCTTTTTATATGCTGACCTTGTGAGTGTCCCAGTACTGCTAGTTTTTTTTTTTTTTTTTTTTTTTTTTTGAAATGGAGTCTTGCTCTGTCGCCCAGGCTAGAGTGCAGTGGCGTGATCTCGACTCACTGCAACCTCCATCTCCCAGGTTCAAGCTATTCTTCTACCTCTGCCTCCCAAGTAGCTAGGATTTCAGGAGCCCGCCACCATGCCCAGCTAATTGTTATATTTTTAGTAGAGATGGGGTTTCACCATGTTGCCCAGGCTAGTCTCGAACTCCTGACTTCGTGATCCACCCGCCTCGGCCTCCCAAAGTGCTGGGATTACAGGCGTGAGCCACCGCACCCAGCCACTGCTAGTCTTCACTGAGTTCTCAGTAGGATATCTTCCTCACAGTCAGTTTTCTCGCTCTCATCTAGTGAATGGGAATAATCACTGATATCTTACTTAAAGGGCTTGATGGACCCATGACTGGTGCTTTTTGAAAAAATATTGGTTTATTAATTTTTTTATAGTACAGCTTACCATAGTACAGATTTGACTTTATAATTTTGGATTTCCTCCTTTTTTATGTTTGCTAAGTAGATCTCAACTTAAAGAATTCTGATCTAGGTAGAAATTTATAAATTTCTTAACTGTATCAACATTTTATTAAGAGCACAGCAGTCTTAAAAGATCATATAAGTCAAATTTTCCAAAATGCAATATTCAATAAGACAGAGTCTGTTTCTCACTTATGAAGAAGGCAAAATTGATCATTCTTCCAACCACTAGTCAAGCCTACTATTTTCACAAAGATTTGGGTAGGCAAATTGAACTGCTCTGTGATTTAGGTATTTGAGGGGGGGGTCAGAAAGTTTGAATAGGTTTTTTTTTTTTAAAGTTGTGTCCATGGGATGTGTTAAATCTCTATCATATGTCTGTAAAAATTCTTATTTGTAAAATTTGTAGTTCTATTGAAGATGAAAATTGCTTTTAAGGGAACTCATTAATCTTCAAAATTTCCATATCATTGTCAAAAGTTGTGTTATAGGAAAAGATTGGAAAAGGTTTTGTAAGCATCCTCTGAATTACTATTTTTGCCACTAGATCTTCTAAATGATTAATGAAGTTTGAAATATTTAGTGTTTAGGGAATACAAGTAATCTTTCGCTTTTCTCTTTTCAGGGGTAGACTTAAAGTCTGAAACAGAAGGTTTCAGTGCATCAAGCAGTCCAAATGACTTACTCGAAAACCTCACTCAAGGGGAAATAATTTATCCTGAGATTTGTATGCTGGAATTAAATTTGCTTTCTGCTAGTAAAGCCAAACTTGATGTGCTTGCCCATGTATTTGAGAGTTTTTTGAAAATTATTAGGCAGAAAGAAAAGAATGTTTTTCTGCTCATGCAACAGGTAAAAAATTCATTTAGTTAAATGTGATCAATATTTATCAGACTCATCACCCAATAACATCTCCTTATGTATAACCCAGCTTTTCTGAAAATTATTTGAGATGATTACTTATCTTTTCTGGTACCTCAGGTGAATACCTACAAGTGGTATTCCAAAATCTTCTAATTCCATAGTTTTCTAAAGTAGCATAGAAAATTAATGTCCTTTGCTAGCCAGTAGTAAATCCTCATCTATTTCTGAGACTGGGTAATATTTTTAAAAATGCATTTAATTTTAATACATGCTCGCTGTTTTGAAAAATCAATCAGTATAAAAAGAAAATGAAAATTAGTATAATCCTACACATAGTAGTCTTTTTAGTCATTTTTAAATACATATATACATATATAGTAGATACCCTATCATAGAATTTATTATGACATTGCAGTTGTTTCATGCTTCTGTGAGGTAAGTAATTTAATTTTGTATTTTTTTTAATCTTCAGGGAACTGTGAAAAATCTTTTAGGAGGGTTCTTGAGTATTTTAACACAGGATGATTCTGATTTTCAAGGTAAGTTGAAACTGTTTTAAACAATAGCTCTGAAATTATTTTATGTGAAAAGTTGATAATAATGGCTTCTGGCCAGGTGTGGTGGCTCATGCCTGTGATCTTAGCACTTTGGGAGGCTGAGGTGGCAGGCGGATCACTTGAGCCTGGGAGTTCAATACCAGCCTGGGCAATATAGAGAGACCTGTCTCTATAAAAATTAGCCAGGTGTGGTGGTGCATGTCTGTGGTCCTAGCTACTTGGGAGGCTGAGGTGGGAGGATCGCTTAGGCCCAGGAGGCCAAGGCTGCAGTGAGCCATGATCATGCCACTGCACTCCAGTCTGGGTGACAGAGCAAGACCCTGTCTCAAAAAAAAAAAAAAAAAAAAAAAAAAAAAAAAAAAAAAAAAAAAAAGGCTTCCATTGGCATAGTGCTCTGTGATTTCAAAAAAGTGTCTTTATATGCATTATCTCGTTTGTTCCTCAGATCCACACAATGAAATAGCCAGAGTGCAAGTATGTTTATAGAGAGGAAAATCTAGATTCCAAGGGGTTGAGTTGTTCAGGGTCTTATACAAAGAAGTGGCATAGTGGGGACTGTAACCCAGTCTAATGCCATGTTGTTGCCATATCTGGTATTGATTAATCTGTACTTGGTACTTCTCAGACATTTGAGAAATTCATAATGAATGTATAATATGATTGCTAATCACAAGAAATCTAAATTTTAGTTGGAGAATTAAGGCTAGCCTACACGAGACTTTAATTTTGGTTTGTATGATGTTTTCTCATGATTAAATTCAGGTTATACGTTTTTGTCAGGAATACTCAGAAGTGATATTGGGTCCTTTTGAGTGCATCATATCAAAAGGACTTATGATATCTGGATCTTACTACTGGTGATGTTAACTTTGATCATGTGGTTAAGGAGGTGTTTGCCAAGTTTCTCTATTGTAAAGTTACTATTTTCCCTTTATAATTAATAAGTATCTTGTGGGGAGATAACTTGAGACTATGTAAATGTACTTTTTCTCATTCTTTCATCCACTAATTTTAGTATTATGAAAAAAATATGAAAGTATGATGATTCTTGACTGGAACAGTTAATTCTGTGGTATCTGCCAAATAGTGATTTTCTGTTTCCATCATTCCTTCATTTATTAACTGAGATTGTACTGTAAGGAAAAGCTTTCTCTTCTCATTCATTTACTTATTTAGTATATGGGTGTATTTTTATTATTTTGCTAGACACTTAGTGAACCCTTGTGATCTGAATATGTGTTTTTAACTCTGAGAAATTATATGCCATTATTTAATGACAGGTTTATTGGGATATAATTCCCATACCATAACATTCACCTATTTAAAGTGTATAGTTCAGTGTTTTGTAGTAGGCAGTTTATTTACAGAGCTGTGCAACCATGACCACAATTAATTTTAGAACATTTTCATCACCCCCAAAAGAAACCCTGTACCCTTTAGCATTTATTGCCTATTGCACCTTAACCCTCCCCTGCACGGATTCTTCTGCCCCTGGCAATCACTCATCTACTTCCTTTTCTGGATATTTTTCATATAAATGGAATATGTGGTCTTTTGTGACTGGTTTCTTTCACATAGCATGATGCTTTCAACCTTCATTCATGTTGTAGCATGTTTCAGCACTTTAGTTCTCTTTCTAATCATTTTTTAAATTTTTTACTTTGCATAGATTCCTTTTTTCAGTGTTTTTTTTTTTTTTTTTTTTTTTTTTTTTTTTTTTTTTATGACAGGGTTTTGCCCTTGTCGCCAAGGCTGGAGTGCAGTGGTGCGATCTCAGCTCACTGCAACCTCCACCTCCCAGGTTAAGCAATTCTCCTTCAGTTTTTATTAATAGACTTTATTTTTTAGAACAGCTTTAGATTTACAGAGAAATTGAACAGATATTATAAAGAGTTCCCCCATTACACCCCTCCCTGCCAGTTTTCCCTATTATTAACATCTAATTTTTTATGATATATGTATTATAATTAATGAACTTATATTGATATGTTATTATTAACTGAAGTCCATAATTCAGATTTCTTAAATTTTTACTTAATGTCCTTTTTCTGTTCAAGGATTTTATCCAGGATAATACTACATAATAGTTAGTTGTCATGTCTTCTTAGGTACCTCTTGACTGTAACAGTTTCTCAGACTTTCCTTGTTTTTGTTAGCCTTGACAGTTTTGAGGGGTACTGGTCAGAATGTCCCTGTATCAGAATTTGTTTGACATTTTTCTCATTGTGCTATCTTGTGATTTTGATTTGTATTTCCCTAATGATTAGTGATGTTGAACCTCTTTTCATGTACTTATTGGCCATTCGTATATCTTGTTTGAAGAAATATCTATTCAAGCCCTCTGCTTATGTTTGAATTGGGTTGTTTCTTTTTTTGTTGTTGAGGTTTAAGAGTTCTCTATATATTCTGGATATTGATTTCTTATCAGATATGTGATATGTTAATATTTTCTCCCATTCTGTAGGTTGTGTTTTTACTTGTTGATAGTATCCTTTGATGCACAAAAGTTTTTCATTTTGAAGTCCAATTTATCTATTTTTTTATTTAGTTTGCTGTACCTTTGGTGTCATATCTAAGAAATCATTGACAAATCCAATATTATGGAATGTTCCCCGTAAGTTTTATTCTTAGGTATATATAGTTTTACATTTAGATCCTGAATTCATTTTGAGTTAAATTTTGTATACGGTGTTAGGTAAGGACCCAACTTTATAATTATTATTATTATTTTGCGTGTGAATATCCAATTTTCTCAGCATCGTTTGTTGAAGAGACTGTCCCTCCCCCATTGAATGGTTTTGGCACCTTTGTCAAAAGTCATGATTATGCTAGGGGTATGGACTTTTGAGAGGAAGATAATAGAAACAAAGTGCCATTGTCATTAAATCATATCAAGGGTACATATTGTCAACATGATTTATAATTGTTGATGTTGACCTTGATCACTTGCATTAAGTAGTGTTTGTCAGGTCTCTCCACTGTAAAGTTACTTTTCCCCTTCCCTGCTTCTTTTCTTTTTTGGCTGAAATAACATTCCATTGTGTGGATATACTGCATTTGATTTATCCATTCATCAGTTGATGGACATTTGGGTTGTTCTCCTTTTTTGCTACTATGTATAATGCTGCTGTGAACACTCATGTACAATTTTTTGTGTGAACATATGTTTTCATTTCTCGAGTCATTTATTTTGTGTCATATGGTAACTCTGTGTTTAATCATTTGAGAAATTGACAGACTGTTGTCCAAAATGGCTATACCATTTTATATTCTTACCATCAGTGTATAAGGGTTCTAATTTCTTCACATTCTTGCCAACACTTGTTATTATATGCCTTTTTAATTATATCTATCCTGGTGGATATGAAGTGGTATCTCATTGTGGTTTTGATTTGTATTCCCCTGAAGGCTAATGTATTAAGTATACCTTTGTGTGTGCCTTAGTCCCATTTGTGCTGATATAATGGAATACCACAGACTGAGTGATTTGTAATGAACAGAAATTTATTTTCTCACAGTTCTGGAGACTGAAAGTCCAAGATCAAAGTGCCAGCATCTGGCAAGGGTCTTCTTGCTGCATCCTCACATGGCAAAATGCAGAAAGGAAGAGAGGCAAAAGGGGGCTGAACTCCCCCTTTCATAAGGGCATGAATCACACCCATGAGGGCAGACTCCTCATGACCCAGTCACCTCCCAAAGATCCCATCTCTTAACACTACCACAATGGCAACCAAATTTCAACTTGAGTTTTGGAGGGGACAGATATTTACACCATAGCAGTGTGCTTTTTAGCTATTTGCGTATTTTCTTTGGATTTCTTCAGAGAAATGCCTATCCAAATCCTTCAGCCATTTTTATACTGGTGATTCATGTTTTGATTATTGAATAGTAAGAGGTTTTTTTTATGTATTCTAGATGCAAGTTCCTCATCAGATATGTGGTTTGCAAATATTTTCTCCCATTCTTTATGCTGTTTCTTAACTTTCTTGATGGTTTACTTTGAAGCATGTTTTAAAAGATTTTTATGAAGTCCTATTTGTCTATTCTATCTTTCATTGCTTTGCTTTTAGTGTCATATCTTAGATCTAATACAGGATTATAAAGATTTATTATTTTAAAAAATAAGTTTCTCCTCTCCATATTCCCTCCTCTTTTTTTGTATTCTAATTGTTATCTTGAGCCTCCCAATTGATCTTGCAAAGATAAGATTATCTTTCCTGTCATATTGACTACATCACTGTTTTTGTGCTACATTTTGAGACATTTTTTCAATCCCAACCTTTTATTTAATTTTTTATTTCGGTAATTTTAATATTTAAGAGCTCTTTTTTGATTGTTTTCTGGTTATTTCTTTTTCATATAAGGATATAATATCTCCTTGTATATATTTGATTATAGTAATAAACATCTTAAAGTTTCTTCTGTCCCCAAATTATCTCTTTTTCCTCTGGGGTCAGTTTTGTCTGTTTTTTTGTTTTTTAAATATTATTTTTACTGATTTAGGTTGCTAATTCTCTAATATTTTTATGAACCTTTTTAGACCATTTATATTTAATAAAACTGTTGGAGATTTCCTCTAATATTGTGAAAGTGAATTTGTTTTCTATTTTGGCCTCTTTCCTGAGTGGGTAGTATGTGGAAGAGCTCTGTGTGAATGTGCCATTGGATGATTAGGGGCTTCCCAAACACCCTAATGAAGAGAGCTTTGCTTTGGGGGACCATTAGGGATACTATTACCCTACATGGCAGTTTGCATACCTTAGAAAAATGCATCTTTCACATATAGGGCTTGGCTGGCGTATAGTGTCTTTGCACTGAGAAAAAAGGCATCCCTTTCTTGATCCAGGCATCACAGCCCAAAACCAGGATGCATGGCTTGGCATACAGCATTCAGACTTTATTTTAGTCTCTACTTTTCCCTTTGGTTAGGCAGTTTGTTCAGTCTGCAGACTGTACAGTTACACTCAGTAGCCATGATGCTAAAAGCCTGTATACACCTGACCATTTCGTTTATTTAGAGAAGAGTTATCAGGTTTGGGACCTAAAAGTGAATACTGAACTATCTGTGCTCTGTACTGAGAAACAGGAGAGAGGTGGATATTCACAGACAGACCTTTCGTTAATCCCTGTATTGTCGGCCGCACTGTCACTTTCTCTCCAGACCTTAGATGGACAGCTCGGCTTCTTACTGCTCTGAACCTCTTTGTAATTCAAAGGAATTCTAGGTTGCAGCTTTCTCTTATACATCTACTTTTCCATCTTCAAGAAATATTTTTAAATCTCTTACTAGATGTGCCCCAATGCCCACTGCCCCCACATATTTTTGCTGTTACGGATTTCTTCCTTCTTATAATTCTGTACTTTAATGCTATGAGTTTTCAGTAGTACACAGAAGCAAGTGTATATATCCATTTCCCCATTTTTAACTGGAACCTCTCAGTTTTGAACTGGAAAAAAAAAGTAAGCACACACACTGATCATATTATTTTCCTACTTAAAAACCTTTAATGGATTCATGTTATGTACAGGATAAAGTCCATGCTATTTTATAGTCTCATTGCAAGTAGTCTCTCCAGATGTATGTACTATTTTGCTACTGTGTCAACTCATTGCTTCTACAAAATATGTTGCTTAAATATGGCTTCTATTCTCTAAACTCCAGGTCTTCCAAAACTACCAGTCTTTTAAAACTTATCTCAGGTTTTAAATCAAGATTATTTCTTTCAGGTCAAAGTGGAGATAATATTTATTTTCTAGGGTTTTTTGTTTTTGGTGAGGATCAGCTGAAATAAAGCATGTAAAAATACTTTGAACACTATAATTTGCTCTACAAATATTAGTTATTATTTTGCTCCAAAGAATTCTATGAATTTGTATATCACCATTTATGTTTTATGCTAAACCTATGATGGAATAAAGAAAATGTTCAAACTAAATAGTTTGTGGTATTTAAGTATTTAAATCATCTTTAATATTTCCACTACTTGTCATCTAATTTCGTACTTAAAAAGTGATAGATATAATTTAAACATTTTCAAGATAAGATAGCAGACTATTTTATGATATAGAAGCATTAGCTTAACAAATATTATATTGATTTATGTTTCTTTAAAGAATGCCCTTAGTTTACTTGTAGCTAATTAATCTTCAAGAAAAGTGAGCTCATGCTGGCCAGACATGGTAGCTCACACCTGTAATCCCTGAACTTTGGGAGGCCGAGGCAGGTGGATCACCTGAGGTCAGGAGTTCGAGACCAGCCTGGCCAACATGGTGAAACCCCGTCTCTTCTAAAAATACAAAAATTACCTGGGCATGGTGACACGTGCCTGTAGTCCCAGCTCCTCGGGAGGCTGAGGCAGGAGAATTGCTTGAACCTGGGAGGTGGAGGTTGCAGTGAGCCGAGATCATGCCATTGCACTCCAGCCTGGGTGACAGAGCGAGCCTCTGTCTAAAATAATAATAATAATAAAAATAATAAAAAGAAAAGTGGTTTTTGTTGTTTTTGTTGGTTGGTTGATTTACATTTAGTTATATTGCTATTTCTTCAGCAAATTTTGTGATTCCTATACTAGATTTTTTATAATCCATTCAAAAAGTGACAATAGTATTTTACCTCTTTTGGTGAAATTGCTCATTTATTCCTCTAATTGTGTACTAGCTTTAATTTTTTCCCTCTTTCTTTAATTTAGCATGCCAGAGAGTATTGGTGGATCTTTTGGTATCTTTGATGAGTTCAAGAACATGTTCAGAAGAGCTAACCCTTCTTTTGAGAATATTTCTGGAGAAATCTCCTTGTACAGTAAATATGCTATAATTTTTACATTTTTCACTGATAAATTCTTTCACTTACAATTTTTAATAGAATGTATTTTTAATTATTTAGAAATGTTACTAAGCTCTTTCTTTTGATGTGACAGTTGGTATAGGCAATTTCATGTTATTATGTGTGAAATACTCAATTATTTGCATATATTTTAACCATTTCACTTCAATTTGGATTAACCAGACATATCGCTGAGATTATATTTTCTTTACCCACCCCATCCCCAGTTTTTGTGCTTCAGAAAAGCTGAATAATTTTAATTACTAAAGAGAACTTAATTATGAATAGTTACAACCATCTTAGGGATTATCCTTTTCAAAAGGTTATTATCCACTATACTCTTCAATTATTGTCTATGCTTCCCCTTTCCATTGGTGTGGCTTAGTGTCTTTTAAACTATTATCTGCTAGGAAACCCATTTTTATAATGAAACCTTGACTAGAAGCATAAGCAAATAAGACAGAAAACTTTGGAGCTACTTTGTAGTGGGATTGGATGTTCCAGAGAACATCTAAGGCAGGGCGCCATGGCTCATACCTGTAATCCCAGCACTTTGTGAGGCCTAGGTGGGCAGATCACCTGAGGTCAGGTGTTCGAGACCAGCCTGACCAATATGATGAAACCCCGTCTCTACTAAAAATACAAAAATTAGCTGGGCTTGGTGGCATGCACCTGTAATCCCAGCTACTCAGGAGGCTGAGGCAGGAGAATTGCTTGAACCCAGGAGGCAAAGGTTGCAGTGAGCTGAGATCATGCCATTGCACTCCAGCCTGGGCAACAAGAGCTAAACTGCATCTCAAAAAAAAAAAAAAATCTAAACATGAAACAAATTAACCACAAAAGATTACATATTTTAAGAATGAAGGCTGGGCATGGTGACTCACGCCTGTAATCCCAGCACTTTGGGAGGCCGAGGTGGGTGGATCACCTGAGGTCAGGAGTGCAAGACTAGCCTGGCCAACATGATGAAACCTCGTCTCTACTAAAAATACAAAAATTAGCTGGGGGTGGTGGTGGGTGCCTGTAATGCCAGCTACTCCAGAGGCTGAGGCAGGAGAATCGCCTGAACCTGGGAGGCGGAGGTTGCAGTGAGCCGAGATTGTGCAACTGCACTCCAGCCTGGGCAACAGAGTGAGACTCTGTCTTAAAAAAAAAAGAATGAAATCTGTTTCATATTTTATCTCAGCTACGAGAAAATGAAAGTTTTAAAGATGTGGGAGATAGGAAGGTATTTAAATAGGAATGCTGATATGTGTGGGTATGTTTGTATTTTCATTTATAACCTAAATTTCAAGATTATTATGTACTTTATTACGTGATTAGAAAGTTTCATTTGTTTTTCTTTTTCTCTAGAAAATTCTTCTTCTGGGTATTCTGAAAATTATTGAAAGTGATACTACTATGAGCCCTTCACAGTATCTAACCTTCCCTTTACTGCACGCTCCAAATTTAAGCAACGGTGTTTCATCACAAAAGTATCCTGGGATTTTAAACAGTAAGGCCATGGGTTTATTGAGAAGAGCACGAGTTTCACGGAGCAAGAAAGAGGCTGATAGAGAGAGTTTTCCCCATCGGCTGCTTTCATCTTGGCACATAGCCCCAGTCCACCTGCCGTTGCTGGGGCAAAACTGCTGGCCACACCTATCAGAAGGTTTCAGTGTTTCCCTGTGGTTTAATGTGGAGTGTATCCATGAAGCTGAGAGTACTACAGAAAAAGGAAAGAAGATAAAGAAAAGAAACAAATCATTAATTTTACCAGATAGCAGTTTTGATGGTACAGGTATGATGACAGGATTATCTGATTTGTACACAAAGATTGTTTTCAGACTATAATTTTCCTTGAGCCGTAAAAATGTGGTAGTGTTCTTAACACTCTTAACATGTTCTTCACCTTAAATGCCTTACTTAGTGGTGGTAGGTCCTGACTTATCAAAGCATGAGTTGTCATAAAGCCTTGAATCTCTATTACGGAAACTTTAGTTTTTTATAGGGGTGAAGGGGACACCACATATACAACTTTTTCTGGGGTCATCAGCCCCTAAAGTTCCTTATGTGACTTCTCTCCTGGTCCCATTACTGGATTAGGGTGGCTCCTGATGTTATAAAAGGATAAAACCTTATAGCTGCCTTTCTTTCTGTTGTTTCCCAGCCCCTATTAGACAGTCCCCATTTCCTTTTCTTTCTCTCTCTTTTTTTTTGAGACAGTTTCACTCTTGTTGCCCAGGCTAGAGTGCAATGGCGCGATCTCGGCTCACTGCAACCTCCGCCTCCCAGGTTCAAGCGATTCTCCTGCCTCAGCCTCCCGAATAGCTGGGATTCAGGCGCCAGCAATCACACCTGGCTAATTTTATATTTTTAGTAGCGATGGTGTTTCACCATGTTGGCCAGGCTGGTCTCAAACTCCTGACCTCAGGTGATCTGCCCACCTCAGCTTCCCAAAGTGCTAGGACTGCAGGTGTGAGCCACCACACCCGGCTAATTTTGTATTTTTAGTAGAGACAGCGGTTTCTCCCTGTTGGTCAGGCTGGTCGCAAACTTCTTTCTCTCTTTTATTTCAAGTTCTCCTTCTCATGCCATGTCTTACCTCAGTGGCCCTCCCCTAGTTCCTGTCACAGAATGTTTAAATGCATCAGCCATTCTCCAACATTAGAATAAATTTCATTCCAGTTCCTTCTTTAACTGAAGAATTGCTATTATACTGCATCTTGTTTCTCATATGACTAGGGCAGAAAAAAAACTGTTCATTGAAAAGCAATTTATGGTGATGGAAAGTGAAGTAGGTAGGATAATTCTTAGGGCCTGTGGAATGAATGAAATGACTGGATGAGACAGATGTTTAGGGTTTTATATGTACATGGAGATGCAGGCCTCAGTAGCTCTTCATTCCACAAATCTTTCTCATCCAGTGGAACCTCTGTTTTAGGACACTATGCCTTCACTAGAATTTTCTGTTGTGGATTGAATTTTGCCACCTAAGAACTGATAGCTCTACATGTGATAATATTTATTATGCTATCTAATGTGCATTGAGTGCTTTCTGTGTATGTGTCACTTTGCTCAGCTGGTTCTATATACATTTTTAATCTTAACAAGTTAGTAAGTGCTCATACTATCTGTATTTTTAGAGGAAGTTAAGTAGCATGACCAAGTTATGTAGCTGGTAAGTGATGGAAAGGAATTGAAACCCACCTGTTTTTAATTCCAGAGCCTTAACATTGCTACTATACTATAAGCTATGCAGATTGCTTTCTCATGTTTTAATGGAGGCAATCTCAATGTAAACAGTCTCTTATAAAATGAATAAATATACATAGTGACCTGAGAAAAGTAAATATTGGAAAGTTTTTTCTTAATTTTTATTTTAAGGATATATTAGAAAACATATTTTAGAAAGATGATTTTGTATAAACACTTAAAAATAGTAGACATATATAAAAAGTTTTGAAGAGAGATAAAGAATATTTTGCTGCGATATCATACCTTTTACCTCTAAACTAACTGGTGCCTTTGGGCAAATTAACCTCTCAGCACCTCAATTTTGTCACCCTATATATATTTACCTTATAAGATGGTTGTGAGCATTAAGTTAAATATTTGTAATATTACTACTCTATAATTCCTAGGTACACACTGGTTTTGTCCTACTCTTTTATTTGCAGAAGTTCATATTTGGTATGGAACATTTTTAAAATTTCACATCAGATGTGAGTTCTCTGTATATCATATATCTTGGTCAGCAGCCTCAAAATAATCAGTGACCTTAACTCTTCTTTTTTAAAACTATTGTCATCGCTACAGGGAGTATTTTTTTAACATCGGTCATGGTTTTACCTGTTGAAAAATAGCAACTAATATGTATGCAGTCTAATAAGCAGTAGTGTTCTTTAAAAGTCTGAGCCTTTGGACATGTATTTTGGATTTTGATATATCATAACATAGCTTTACATAAAGTCACATGTATTATAATGACAAGTAGATCATCATACATCTTCAGGCAGTGCTGGGTTTTCAAAGATGAGGAAGAGGAGTCAAGATAAATAACCAGATAGCCCAAGCCTGTAAGCATTTACCCTAGCTTGCCTTAAAGAAACATTAGAGTTTCAGAATCACTTAGCAATTATATGCAAAAACTACTCACCAGGGAATATAAATTATGAATATATTCAAACACTAGAGTTTTTCCTTAAAATTTGTAATATGATATTTTTTTTTAAATCATGCCATATTGTGATAATTCTAGAATGAGTTTTGGTAGTGTGAGGCATGGACAATGATGTGTGCTCCCTGGACCAGGGTCAGTGAAGTCATAGTTGATAAAAGAAGCTTGGTACACATTGTAATAGGTTGTCACATAGCGGTCTGGTTACGCCCACAATTGTCCTCAGTTATTATACATTTTTTAATATCTAATAACTTTTAAAGTACTGAATTACCATTTTTCATCCCTCGTGCTTTTTTGGAGTTAACATCTATACTCTGAAAATATGGTTGTTTAGAACAGGTCAGGCTCAGACATTCTGGGTAGATAACCTACTACAAATGAACAAATTTGCTTTGTATTCTTCTAAATTCACTTTTCTACTCAGTTGTTACGAACCATTTTACTGATCATTCTAACATCTTTTTCTTATAGAGAGCGACAGACCAGAAGGTGCAGAGTACATAAATCCTGGTGAAAGACTCATAGAAGAAGGATGTATTCATATAATTTCACTGGGATCCAAAGCGTTGATGATCCAAGTGTGGGCTGATCCCCACAATGCCACTCTTATCTTTCGGTATTGATTATCCTCAGCCTCCCATGAATAGATAATGTATTTAAATAATTTGTGTAAGAGACATTAATGTGAAATCTACTAATAAAAGTTCATTATAGCAAAACAAAAAGTCTCATTTAAAAATATATACATTCTAACAGCTATTAATACCACTTTTATAATAGTGTATTATTCTATCCAAAAATCCATAAAGTCTAAAATATATTAATTCTCGGCTGGGTGTGGTGGCTCATGCCTGTAATCCCAGCACTTTGGGAGGCCAAGGCAGGCAGATCACCTGAGGTCAGGAGTTTGAGACCAGCCTGGCCAACATAGTGAAACCCAATCTCTACAAAAAATAAAAATAAAAACAAAAAAACAAAAAACCACAAAAATTAGCCAGGCATGATGGTGCATGCCTGTAGTCCCAGCTACTTGGGAGGCTGAAGCAGGAGTATCACTTGAATCTGGGAGGCAGAGGTTGTAGTGATCCCAGATCGCGCCACTGCACTCCAGTCTGGGTGACAGAGTGAGACTCTGTCTCAAAAAATAAATAAATAAATAAAAACAAAAAATAAATGAGTAAATAAAATACATTAATTCTCTGTTTGATTTTAGATCAAATACTGAAGTCTTATGCTATGGAAATATTCTATCAGATTGTAATGGTCTTAAGATGTTATTAACAGACATAAGTTTTCCATGTGCATTATATATTTAATAGCGATTACCTAATAAGCTTGGGTTCTCCTTGTTATCTTGTCCTTTTATACTATCTCCTTTATTAAGTAGTATAGATACAGGTCTTTTATTTGTATTGAGTATGAATAGTATGATACTATTTGTCTAAAACTCAAATCTAAACAAACCAGTATGTTATTTAGGAATATATACTTTGTAAACGTTACAAACATTACTAGGTGCCTTATGTACATTATCTCCTCATTCTTTCAGTAATCCCACAAAGTAGATTAGACCTCCAATACTTAGACATTTATATTAATTTTTCTATGAACCAAATAATACATTGTAATTTCTAAATGGGCAATGGCTATATAAATAGTAATAATATATATTTTTTTACAAACTGAATTCTGAACATTATTGCCTAAATTATGACTACCAGCCAATGAGCCTAATCTATTTTAGTTCATGAATTGAGGTAATGATAGAATAACTAAGTAACTTATGGTATAAAACGAAGACCTACTGACTTTTCAAGCACTTTAAAAAAAATAGAACTGATTTTTAATCTTACTTATTTAGAATTATAGTTACTATATGTATGTTAAACACTGAGGTCAGAATTTTCATGTTTTCAGCCTATGCCTTTTCTCTTTTTCTGTAGTGTGTGCATGGATTCAAATGATGACATGAAAGCTGTTTTACTAGCACAGGTTGAATCACAGGAGAATATTTTCCTCCCAAGCAAATGGCAACATTTAGTACTCACCTACTTACAGCAGCCCCAAGGGAAAAGGAGGATTCATGGGAAAATCTCCATATGGGTCTCTGGACAGAGGTAGGAAGCATTTTGAGAAAATGCATCTCAATCTCAGTTACAATGTTATGTTTCATTAGTCAATTATAGCTTCTGAAACAGAATACAGAAACTTCTAGGTTTTTACTATAATAAAATTTACTATATTTTTTGTTGTTTCTTTTTTTATTATTATTGTACTTTAAGTTCTAGGGTACATGTGCACAATGTGCAGGTTTGTTACATATGTATACATGTGCCATGTTGGTGTGCTGCACCCATTAACTCGTCATTTACATTAGGTATATCTCCTATGCTATCCCTCCCCCCTCCCCCCACCCCACGACAGGCCCCAGTGTGTGATGTTTCCCTTCCTGTGTCCAAGTGTTCTCATTGTTCAATTCCCACCTATGAGTGAGAACATGCGGTGTTTGGTTTTTTGTCCTTGCGATCGTTTGCTGAGAGTGATGATTTCCAGCTTCATCCGTGTCCGTACAAAGGACATGAACTCATCCTTTTTTATGGCTGCATAGTATTCCATGGTGTATATGTGCCACATTTTCTTAATCCAGTCTATCATTGATGGACATTTGGGTTGGTTCCAAGTCTTTGCTATTGTGAATAGTGCCGCAATAAACATACATGTGCATGTGTCTTTATAGCAGTATGATTCATAATCCTTTGGGTATATACCCAGTAATGGGATGGCTGGGTCAAATGGTATTTCTAGTTCCAGATCCTTGAAGAATCACCACACTGTCTTCCACAATGGTTGAACTAGTTTACAGACCCACCAACAATGTAAAAGTGTTCCTATTTCTCCACATCCTCTCCAGCACCTGTTGTTTGCTGACTTTTTAATGATTGCCATTCTAACTGGTGTGAGATGGTATCTCATTGTGGTTTTGATTTGCATTTCTCTGAAAAATTTACTATACTTTAACTTACAAATCTGTCAGAGTTGGACTTTTTTTTCCTATTGGTCATTTTCATGCAAAATAAGCCTCCTGTCGAAGTGACTGTTGAAAATTAATATTTGGGTTTGGGGAGCATGCAGATACCCAGAAATTTAGACATTTATGTATAACTATATATCAAAGAACAGAATCTGTAATTTCATCCTGCAAGCCCATATATTATAAAACTGAAGCCGTGATAATTATTTAAATTAAGTGGCTAATAAGGCTAATACCTAAATTAAATTAGGCTTTCAAAAGAAATTAGAATGACTAGCCTATGTATAAGGTGATAGATTCAGATAGAGTGCTAGAAATATACCAAGTGATAGATTCAGGGAGAGTACTGTATGATTTTTACCACATAGGAGAATTGTGAGCCAAGTTAATAAGAAACATCTTGTGGAATATCTTAATGTCAAATTTTAGCCTGTAGGAACTATAAGGTATCTTCGATTTGTAAGCATTGGGAAGTATTGTATTGAATGAAGTAGCATGAAAGAAGATAGAGAATTCGAAACTGTAATGTAGCATGGTAGAGGATTAAGCTGGTTGGATGAGTTTAAGTTGAATAATGAGAAATAAAAATGAATGGACATGGTGAGACTACTTAACAGGCTTTGAATGCCAAGCTGAGAAGTCTAGATTTAATCAAAGGGAATATAATACTGCATACTTACTATGTTGCAGACCTTTTGCTAGGTGCTTTATATACATCATCTAATTCTCTCAAAAATCCCTCAAAGTAGATTAGACCATGGAAATAACATATACCCTTAACACAGATTAACCTATTTTTATTCATTCATTTGTTCATTCATTACATTTATTGAGGAATTACAGTGTTTTGAGCACTTGATATATTAATTAGGCCTAGGGGACAATGGTAAACAAGATAGACACATTCCCTGCCTTCCTGGAGTTCACAGTCTGATGAGGAATCAGACAACAAGCAAACACAATTAAATGAATATTTACAAATGATGAAAAATACTGTGAGGCCCATGCTTTAAAACCCTGAGGCAGAAAATATCGAGTTTGACACTTACGATGGGTGGATCAGGGAAGGCCTATCTAAGAACAGGGTATTAAACCTGAGACCTGAAGGAGGAGATGGAATTTGCCCTGTGCAGGTGGGAGGAGGACAGTTTGAGGTGGAAGACAGGGCATCACTGCAGGAGGCTGCAGCAATTGATTGCTTACAGCTGTCCAGCCTCAATAATAGAGGGAGACAGGGAGCAGGAGCTTGTGGATTGCTTTACAGTCCATGGTGTCTGCCACAAGCAAGAACATGCTTTGGAAGTAAAATTAAGAGTTCAGTTTTGTTGTATTCATTTTAAAAAATGTAAAAATACGTAATTGAAGCCTAATTTCCATGTTCCATGTTCCAAATAAAATACTGTCTGTGACGTTCTCGATCTTCATAGCTGCCATGGCAGCTGTAGCCAATCAGCAAATTTGTTTCCAGAACCTATAGTTAAATCAGATGGAGCTGGGGCTGGAGTTGTAAGTAGAGAGCCCCTTTCTCCTAGGCACTCTCCACTCAATTTCTTGAGCTCTCAATATGTGCCAGGCACTGTATTAGGCACTTTATACAGATTACCTGATTTAATCCTCCCAACAATACTATAAAGTAGGTATATTATTATCCCAATTTTACATATGAGGCAACTGAGACCTAGAGTGACTTTCCCAAACTCATGCCACAAGTAAGGGGTAGAGCTGAAAGTTTAACCTAAACTCTGACCCTAGGGAGGGCCCATGCTTTAAAACCCTATGCTTTACTGCCCCTGCAGCCTTTTTCTGAATTATGTCAGCTGACAGGTAGAGGAACCATAAACTATTAGAAATGTTCAGAATGAGAGATTAGATTTTTATTGTGGACAGTCTGAAATTAGTAAGCATGGTCACTTGATTCACATATCACTCTGTTTTTTTACCCACCAACTTACAGCTATACTCCTTTGAGAGAATTGTTTGCCATTTGGCACAAGTTAATTTCATTGGTTAACAGAGCAAGTGACCAAGGACAAATATTTTATTCTGTTGACTTAAACTTGGTTCTCTAGTATCTTTGTCACTTTATAAGCTATAGAATAATTTCTAGGCCAGGCATGGTGCTTCATGCCTGTAATCCCAGCACTTTGATAGGCCGAGGCAGAAGGATTGCTTGAGCACGGGAATTCAAGACCAACCTGGGCAACATGGAAAATCCCTGTCTCCACTAAAAATAAAAAAATTAGCTGGGCATGGTAATGCGTAGCTGTAGTCCCAGCTATTCGGGACACTGAGGCAGGAGGATCACCTGAGCCCAGTAAGTCAAGGCTACAGTGAGCCATGATTGCACCCCTGCACTTCAGCCTGGGTGACAGAGCGAGACCCTGTCTCAATTTAAAAGAAAAAAAAAAAGAATTTCTAAAAGAATACATTTGAAGAGGCCTTTTAAAATAAGGTAACAGTACTGAAAATGAGTTAATACTTTCTATTAGTTGTTATTAACAGCTTACAAATATGGCAGAAATATATGGCACATAGTAGATACTTAATATTTGTTTAATTCATTTTGCATTCATCCTGCAATAGGTTTTCTTTCACCCTTAAAAACACTATTTTATTTTTATTTCATTGTTATATTTTTATTTTACTTTAGTTCTGGGATACATGTGCAGAACGTGCAGGTTTGTTACATAGGTATACATGTGCCATGGTGGTTTGCTGCACCCATCAACCCGTCATCTAGGTTTTAAGCCCCACGTGCATTAGGTATTTGTCCTGATACTCTTCCTCCCCTTGCCCCAACACCCGCCGACAGGCCCCGGTGTGTGATGTTCCCCTCCCTGTGTCCGTATGTTCTCATTGAAAAACTATTTTTTAAAATAAAAAATTTAAAACTATTTTAAGTCATAATGCCACTAGATGGCAATAGAGTTTCAGTCACAGCCATTTATTTGGTCAAGGAGAAGTATGTCATTGAATGTATCCCACATCTTTCCTTTATTAAAAAAAAAAACATTAAAATAGTTAAGTTTATATGTTATATGTGAAACAGAGAGCCTTAGGCAAAACTTTTAAAATAAATATACACAAAGTTGAATTTCTCATTAAGAGCTACCCGTGTTAGCTTATCCTGTCTTCATCTTACAAATTTTATTTAGACTTTGCCTTCATAGATTACTCTCATTATCTTAAAATGGAGTTTAAAACATTCCTAAATTAGGGGTAGAGCTCTGTGGTTTCACTAGTTGATGAAGTCCTCCCTGCTTTGTGTGTCTTTCTGTGAGAAAGCCTTATTTTGCCTTTTCCAGTACTGTCTTTTGTAAGCATTCCTTCACCGTTATCCATGAAGCAAAAGAGACTAATCAAAAGCTGCATAATCACTTAGCATTAAGAAAACAGAAAATGCAGAAAGTATTGGCATTTCAATGGCTAGACAGAAATTTTGAAGAAGTTATGTTTTTACTGATTAGTTTTCAAAGGCCTCATAGATGACATAACATTTTTGGAATGTCATGGATTCCAGTTTTTGGAATTGTTTGTCAAGATGGGAGACTTCTTGGCAAAATTAAGGGGAGGTGGTTGGTTTATATCTGTAAACCAGGAAGGTGCATATACAGAAGTCAAATGGCAAAGAAAACTTGCAGCAAATGTTTAGTCACATTTCCCATGGCCTGCCGTGGGATCATCAGGTATCTCTCTTTGGCTCCCCTCTTTCTGCAGCACCTTTGACCAAGAGACAAACAATTAGCCCTCCTCTCTTGCCCCAGTGCCAGCTGATAATGACCCAAGAAAATTGTTCAAGAATTCCCCATTGTAGGCCGGGTGTGGTGGCTCACACCTGTAATCCCAGCACTTTGGGAGGCCAAGGCGGGTGGATCATGAGGTCAGGAGATAGAGACCATCCTGGCTAACACAGTGAAACCCCGTCTTTACTAAAAAAAAAATACAAAAAATTAACCAGGCCTGGTGGCGGGCACCTGTAATCCCAGCTACTTGGGAGGCTGAGGCAGGAGAATGGTGTGAACCCAGGAGGCGGAGCTTGCAGTGAGCTGAGATCGTGCCAACCTGGGCAACAGAGCGAGACTCTGTCTCCAAAAAAAAAAAAAAAGAATTCCCCATTGTTAAATATTCATACTTTAAAAATACTTAGTACTAGACTTCCTAAAGTCATTGCTTTAACTTTGTTTTGTTTTTAATGTAGGAAGCCTGATGTTACTTTGGATTTTATGCTTCCAAGAAAAACAAGTTTGTCATCTGATAGCAATAAAACATTTTGCATGATTGGCCATTGTTTATCATCCCAAGAAGAGTTTTTGCAGTTGGCTGGAAAATGGGACCTGGGAAATTTGCTTCTCTTCAACGGTGAGTGAGCTATGATTGCACCACTGCACTTCAGCCTGGGCGACAGAGTGAGATTTTTTTCCTTTGAAACATTTCCAGTTTTTTTTCTCAGTTAACAAATATTAAACTAAGTAAATTAACCTGGCTAAAATATCCATCTATGTTCCTTTACTTGTGTTTAATAAGTACTGTATTTCCAAGATTCTAAGATATACTTTTAAAATATTTTAACGTTTTTGTAATCTAGTTGTGTCTTACAATTGATATATACATTTAATATAAAAATGTATTTCTTCCATCCTCAAAAAAGAGAAGCTCATATTAACTTAGCGTTTTTTTATACTGGATAATGTAGCATCATGACTAGTAAACTTATCTTGGTTGTCTCCTTTATAATTTTATTATATCTTATACAAATATCAAATTTTAGGGAAAAATGAAATATATGATTTTTAAAAAATATGTCCTTAAACCTCACACATAATAGCATTCAGACAGTGTTTATTGACTAAATAGGAAGGAATAAAGATATTGATTCAAATTTTAGTTAGAAATGGAGTTTACCAAGATATAGCTCCCATTATTTAAAAAATACAACAAAGTAAAATAAAACAGAAAACCTGTTTTCTGGCTAAGGAGCAAATGGAAATGTTATGATTTAATTAAAAGCTTCACAATTAACTTTATATACATTAATTCATCTTCCATCATAGTTGACATAGGTTATTTTCTCGTTACACCAATTTCGAAATTGAGGCTTTATCAATTTTATAAAATATAGTGAACAACTGAAAGAATCTGGCTACAAAAAATAATTCCTGGTTTCTTGCTTTTTATGAAAAATTCTGGTTAGGGTGTTTTAAATAACTAACTTTATTTTTCTGCTATTCAGGAGCTAAGGTTGGTTCACAAGAGGCCTTTTATCTGTATGCTTGTGGACCCAACCATACATCTGTAATGCCATGTAAGTATGGCAAGCCAGTCAATGACTACTCCAAATATATTAATAAAGAAATTTTGCGATGTGAACAAATCAGAGAACTTTTTATGACCAAGAAAGATGTGGATATTGGTCTCTTAATTGTAAGTTTTAATTTTATAAATTTTAATTTTATAGTAAATGTATTTAGGTATATTTATTGTAATGTATAGTTATGAATTAGATTTCTAAAGATTTTAATGTGGTTCCTTATCATTTTCTTTTCTTAGAATTATGTTTTTTTCTGAAAAAAATTGAAACACTTTGATCTCCTTTCAAAATTTGTTTCAGGCTTTATATTTATATCTCCTTTTCCTTGAAATTATATTTCTATAAAAAGTTTATCAGTTTAGTTTATTTTATACCTACTAATTATTCAGGAAAAATGTTTATGATACAGTGAAAATAACACTTGTTAGTTTGACATACTCCTAAAAAATGTTGCTCATTATATTTTCTTTCCATACTTATAAATAAATAATATCCATTTATAATGTTAGTTTTAGTTACATGTATTCAGGTCTTAGAAAACCTACTCTTTTTTATTTTTTATTTTTTTTTTTAAGAGACAGGATTTCACTCTGTCACCCAGGCTTGGGTGCAGTGGTGTGATCATGGCTCACCGCAGCCTTGAACTCCTGGGCTCAAATGATCCTCCCACCTCAGCCTCCCAAGTGGCCGGGCCTGTGGTCATGCATCACCACACCGGGCTAATTTTAAATTTTTGTAGAGATGGAATCTCGCTTTGTTGCCCAGACTAGTCTCAAACTCCTGGCCTCAAGCGATCTTCCCGTCTCAGCCTCCCAAATGGTGAGATTACAGGCATGAGCCACCATGCCTGGCCTAAAAAACTTATTATTTAATATCAGTAAAATTAGGAATTTTGCTTTCAAAGTATTGCTAATTCTGCTTATATGAGACTCTATTGATTTTTATATATTATTCCAATATTTTGTTCTACCAGTATATAATGTAGGAGCTAGTGGTGAGGATTTTTCGTTATAGCAACTAGAAAACTGAGCCTTCATAAATAGTCTTAGAAAATCTACTAAAATCTAGTAGATCTGGCCATGAAACTGGGTTCCTCTTTCTCTTGCTTCTTATGAGAAGTACAGATATTTCTTACTTGAAGGAGACTACTGTTTTGGAATGTATTTTGTTGTTTGTGGTGTTGTTGTTGTTGTTGAGTTGCGGGGAGGGTAGATTTGGTTGTCAATAATTATTGGGTAGTAAGGGCCAGTGATGCTAAATGTTCTACAGTACATGAACACTATTATACAACAAAGAATGATCCTATCCTAAATGTCCCACCATTAAGAAAACATCCTTTAGGGAAATGGTTCCTCAAACCTGAGTGTGCACCAGAATCATCCAGAGGGCTTGTTAAAATATAGATTGCTGGGCCAGAGCTTCTGATTCAGTAGGTCTGAAGTGTGACCCTGGAATTTACATTTTTAAGAAGTTCCTAGGTGATGCTGATGCTGGTTGAGGATCACACTTTGAGAACCTCTGCCTTAGGGAGACTGAGGAGCTCACACAGATGTTTGTTCAAGTAATAACTTTAACTCAATAGTTTTTGGTTAATCCATTTGTTTTCATAGAAAAATTTCCCTAATCCTTTTATTTTTCCTGAACGGTATATAGGTCATATAAGTTACAAAACTCAACATAAATTATCATGAATGAAAATTCTGAGGGTTTTATGTGAAAACTATTTTTAGAGAGCAAATTGTTTAAGCCCGATTTAGTAATTTGGGAGTTATAAGCTTGTGAAACAATGGTTAGGGAGAAGTGGTACCCTCGGCCAGGCACGGTGGCTCATGCCTGTAATCCCAGCACTTTGGGAGGCCGAGGCGGGTGGATCACCTGAGGTCAGGAGTTTGAGACCAGCCTGGCCAACATGGTGAAACCCTGTCTCTACTAAAAATACAAAAACTAGCCAGGCATGGTGGCAGATGCCTGTAATCCCAGCTACTCAGGAGGCTGAGGCAGGAGAATCGCTTGAACCTAGGAGGCGGAGATTGCAGAGAGCCGAGAATGCGCCATTGCACTCCAGCCTGGGCAACAAGAGTCAAACTCTGTCTCAAAAAAAAAAAGAAAAAAGACAAGAAATGGTACCCTCATGTCAGGGTGCAACGTCAGATTTCTGATTGAAACTACTGCAGGTTTGAAACTTTGCTTTTCCAGCATAATCATACACAACAGACAGTATAATTGGTTTAGCTGGTGCACAGATACGCTGGGTGGTATGTCTGATTGCTGTGGGTCATAAATAAAGCACAGGCCAGGCACGGTGGCTCATGCTTGTAATCCCAGCACTTTGGGAGGCTGAGGCGGGCAGATCACGAGGTCAGAAGTTCAAGACCAGCCAGTTCGAGACCAGCCTGGCCAACATGGTGAAACCCTGTCTCTACTAAAAATATAAAATTAGCTGGGCGTGGTGGCATGCACCTGTAATTCCAGCTACTCAGGAGGCCGAAGCAGGAGAATTGCTTGAACCCGGGAGGCAGAGGTTGCAGTGAGCTGAGATCACGCCACTGTACTCCAGCCTGGGCAACAGAGCAAGACTCCGTCTCGGAAAAATAAATAAATAAATAAATAATAAGAATAATCTAAGCACAAGGCCCCCATCCAGTTCTGAGAGAAGACACTGAATCTATATGATTTCCCTAAGCCTGGGTTTGGCATCTACTACCATTAAAACCACCTTAAAGTACATTATGGGCCAGACACCAAGATTCATGCCTATAATCCCAGCACTCTGGGAGGCACAGGCAGGAGGATCACTTTAGGTCAAGGGTTTGAGACTAGCCTGGGCAACATAACAAGACCATGTCTCTACAAAAATATATATATATATATATATATATTTAACTGGGTTAACTGGGTGTGGTGGCAGGTGCCTGTAGTCCTAGCTGCTTGGGAGGCTGAGGTGGGAGGATCCCTTGAGCCTAGGAGTTCAAGGCTACGGTGAGCTATGGTCATGCCACTGCACTCCAGCCTGGGTGCCAGAGCAAGACACTGTCTCTAAGAAAAACATGCATTCTGTATTTAAAATTAACTTTAATTTTTAAAATAGTTTAGAGAATCTTGACAGGGAGCCACACACTGATGGAAACTATCCTTTGCCTGGGAGAAATATTTGAAGTTCTATTTTATTTTAGTTAGGTGTGCTGACTGTTGACAATCTGGAATTTTATTCCAGTAGAAAGATCTAGTTTAGAGTTGCTTTTAAATGAAGAGTCAGCCAATGAGCAAATGCAAAGCAAAAATTTCAAATAAATTGACCTGACCCAGAGTTCCCAATATTTTTAAGTGCTTAGAATAGTGCCTGGTATGTAATAAGTGTGGTTTAAGACTTAGTTGATATTAGTAGTAATAGTATAACTTAATATATATTCTAAACCGAACAAAGCTGGAATCCTTCTCAACCTTGATGTGATCTATACAATTGATCACTGCTAAATAAATCACTGACCATTTGCTTTGTGGGAAACAGCCTTGCTTCTAATGTTTATCTGTTTAGTGTAGTAGCTGTTGTTTTTTAAACAAAGAAAAGGATCAGTTGAGTGTGTTTTCACTTTGAAATACTTACTTGCTAGTTCATAGCTTGCATTTTAAACTTGTTGTCATTACTGAATGAAAATATTTGTATTTCAGGAAAGTCTTTCAGTTGTTTATACAACTTACTGTCCTGCTCAGTATACCATCTATGAACCAGTGATTAGACTTAAAGGTCAAATGAAAACCCAACTCTCTCAAAGACCCTTCAGCTCAAAAGAAGTTCAGAGCATCTTATTAGAACCTCATCATCTAAAGAATCTCCAACCTACTGAATATAAAACTATTCAAGGCATTCTGCACGAAATTGGTGGAACTGGCATATTTGTTTTTCTCTTTGCCAGGGTAAGAATCACTGCTTATAGTTTTGTCTAAAGAGAAATGACTTACTTATTATTGATAAATTAAAGGATTTCTTTTGGACCACACGAAAAAGCTACACTCGACTATATTAAACTTTTAACATAAAAAAATTACATATTAAAATGTTATTAAGCTTTCTGCCATAGATGATTAAGGTTTCTTCTAATTTATGAATATTTTAGAAGTTTTCTATTAACCAAAAATGTAATTAGTACAATTAAATGTTAAATGTACAAGATTTTAAATTGAGAGGAGGATATTTTTAAAAATAAAATTTATGAAGTTTTTATTCCTTAAATGTTTCCAATGCATAGGAAAAAACTAAGGGTCAAAAAATACTTTAAAAAAAAAAAAACTTTAATTTGTTTGGGTTTGGAGTTTTTTCAAAAAAGAGACATATAAAGTTTGACTCAGGCCATAAGTACCATTTTCGAATGAGTCATTTAATTATCTGTCCTGATGCAAAGTAGACAGTCAGTAATTATAGACTATTTCAGGGATTGCTGAAACCTATGTTAGGGAGCACCAACAGTCTCACTTTAGTAAAAATCATTTCTACTTCCTCTGGATCCACATCCCTGTTTAATTAAAGCAGCTTTGATCTTCCTTCATCCTCGGAATGCCATCTTCGTTTTATCCCTAAGTATAACTTTTGCAACATTATCAAGTTTTCATAGTCTCCCTATCTAACTTTCTTTAATGGAAGCATCGTTGATTAATTTTGCAATAAGAAGCATATCAGCGTTTGTTGTTGTTAGGGTTCTTACAAATATTTTGTTAGCATTTGATCCACCATACTCTGTAATCTGTCTTTTCTTCTCCACCTCTTCCTTTTTCATAGTTTTTTTAATCTAGTGTCTAGTTAAATAGATTATCTCCTAGTGTTTTAAAATTAAAAGCCCTTTAACTCCTCACCAATATTTTGTGATATTTTGTACCATCGTATAGTTTCAAAATGTATATCCTTGTTTTCTTCTCTTTCATCAAGGTATTGAATATAATTTTGTTATTGTTACATAGAGATTGGATCTTAGATAAAATGTTTACATTTTTATCTTTATATGTTTAGTATCTTGCCAATAAGACTTTTAAAGTATGTTTTTAAGTCTAAAACTTATAAACCTTGTTCAGTATCCTTCCTCCTCCCCTACAAAAATAAAATTCAGTGTCCTTAAAATCCTTACATGCATAACCTGCCTTGTGAACCTGGTCTCTACAATCCAGCCAAAGAGGCAACCTGCAGCTTCCTAGATGTACTGTGAACTTCCAGTTTAGGCCTTTACCCTTCCCCTGGCTGTGCCCTGCCTTAGCCACCCCTTTATTCCTGCTTTCCAGGATTTGGCTCTCTTCCTAGGCCATCTTCTCTCTGTGTAGCCTTCCCTTAAACCAAGCAGAGAGGGATCAGAATGGTCTCTGTGCTCTCCAGAATACCTATTGTCTCATTCTTCTTTGGCCTTTAGCATGATAATAAGTGTGTGTTTCTTATGTATATAGTAGTTGTCAGAAAGTGTTGGTTGAAGTAAATTGACATACAAGGCAGGACATGTGGTTTTTATAGATACATCTTATCTCTTTGACAGGACAGTAGACCCCATTGGGAACAAGTATCATGTATTTTACTTCTTTTTATCTCCCTTACCACATAATGCAGAGCCTGTCTATTGACTAACTTATCAAAAACTTATGACACTTCAGATCACTAGTTATAAAATGCTACTGGCCACTAAGGTTGTGTGTCATTGTATACTATAGTATATATAAGAGACTATAGAACATGGAGTTTATGCCTTACTCTCAGTTTTGTTTATTCACAAGCCTTACATAGGTAGAGTATGAGCATTAAAAAAATACTTTGTAGAAACTAATGGATTGATGTTACAGAATGGAAGATTATACATGTTAAATTTTTACTCTCAGCAAATTGGGAGAAAACTATATCCACCCATTTTTTTTTTTAGGTTGTTGAACTCAGTAGCTGTGAAGAAACTCAAGCATTAGCACTGCGAGTTATACTCTCATTAATTAAATACAACCAACAAAGAGTACATGAATTAGAAAATTGTAATGGACTTTCTATGATTCATCAGGTGTTGATCAAACAAAAATGCATTGTTGGGTTTTACATTTTGAAGGTATGTCTTCATAAAATTTATTCTTATAGTTTCATATGCAGTGATACTCATCTCGTCATCAAAGTCTTCCAATAATAGTTTTGTATTTCAGTTATTCCTGAAGAAAATGGAGGAAACTTATTAGTGTATAGTTAATCAAACTAAGATACTCTTCTAGTTCTTTTCATCATTTAAATAATTACATTTTTCTTTTCTTTAAAGCATTTTTTAAAAGTAAGAAAGAAAGAAACTCATTGAATTTTAGACCTGGGTGGGCCATAGATATCTCCCATGCTGTCCCTTCATTCTGTAGATTGATGAGATCTTTGCTTTAGCTCCCACCCTTATGGCAGAGAACCCAGTTCTCTAGGCACCTAGAGGCATACCATTCCATTAGGCACTGCTGCTACAGAGTTAGTTTTTCAAGTCACAGATATTCGTGCTCATTTTTATTATGATCCCGCTATCATCATATATTTAAATACATTTCTAGATGAAAGCATTTGGTAACATTGTGGAAATATTTCTCTCTGAGACTTCTGGTACTAAGGCAAAAGACGATTGCTCTACCCTTGCCTCCACCCCTACTTCTTTAAACTGCAAGATCCATACATTTGTGGCATGAATCCTTACTACTTTTTTGAAAACGTTTTAAAGCCTAATAGCAGATTAATTCAATTTAAAACATAAAAATTGAGTGCTGTTTGTTTTCACCCCTTGTTTGAACCTGAGTACTCACTTAAAAATATTTGTAAGTTTGGGATTTTCTACTTATCTGAATTGTTTTACAAAACAAGTTAAAGATACTTTGTGAAGTGTTAAATTATTTACTAGCTTTCCTTTGAATTTAATGATTGCTAAAATTGAAAGCTTAATGTTTCTGTTGAACTTCCTGATTAACCAATTACTAATGCATCTTATATTAATGCTAATTTTCTATAGACCCTTCTTGAAGGATGCTGTGGTGAAGATATTATTTATATGAATGAGAATGGAGAGTTTAAGTTGGATGTAGACTCTAATGCTATAATCCAAGATGTTAAGCTGTTAGAGGAACTATTGCTTGACTGGAAGATATGGAGTAAAGCAGAGGCATGTAATATGTACTTTTTTTCCATTTTTTATTGTGGTAAAATGCATATAACACAAAATTTACCATCTTAAGCATTTTTAAGTTTCAGTTCAGTGGCATTAAGTGCATTTACAGTGTTGTCCAACCATCACCACCATCCATCTCTGTAAATCTTTTTTGTTTTGTAAAACCAAAACTTTGTACCCTTTAAACAAATGTTCTCCCTCTTTCTCTAGCCCCTGGAAACCACCATTCTACTTTTGACTAATCTAAGGATCTCATATAAGTAGGATCGTATAGTATTTGTCTTTTTGTGATTAGCTTATTTCACTTAGCTTAATGTCTTCAAGGCTCATCTGTGTTGTAGCATATGTCCAAATTTCCTTTTTAAGAATGAATAATATTCCGTTCTATATATTTATCACATTTTGCTTATCCATTCATCAGTTTAGAGACACTTGGATTGTTTCCACATTTTAGCTACCGTGAATAGAAGCATATACTCGTTTTTTTGTTTGTTTGCTTTTGTTTTTGTTTTTTTTTTGAAATGGAGTTTTACTCTTTTGCCCAGGCTGGAGTGCAGTGGCGTGATCTTGGCTCACTGCAACCTCCACCCCCAGGCTCAGATGATACTCCTACCTCAGCCTCCCAAGTAGCTGGGACCACAGATGTGTGCCACCATGCCTGGCTAAGTTTTAGTATTTTGGGTGTAGACAGGGTTTCACACATGTTGCTCAGGCTGGTCTTGAACTCCTGAGCTCAAGTGATCTGCCTGCCTCGGCTTCCCAAGATGCTGGGATTATAGGCATGAGCCACCACCCCCAGCCAGCATATTCTTTTAAATATTTATCTAATCATTCTTCTGAAAGAAATAATTAATTTATTACTTCATTGTAATGTTAATTATAAATGGAAATCTGGCACTTATTTCCCATGCAAAGTTTTGAACAGCCATGGGGAATGCTGAGCTGGAGAGTCAAAATCAAACTTGGGCTGGCTAAGAATACTGCAGTCAGGCAGGAGCATATGGGCTTATCTGGATCAGCTGAAGGCTTGCATTTACCATAAACTCTGAAAGGGGAGACTGCTAAGAGTCAGGGGAGTCAGGTCCAGGAGAGGGAAATGGATACACTTCTAACTAGGGGAGCCATGCTGGCCAGGAGTTAGAGATAGGACCATGGTATATAGGGCAAGGCTTCATCGTAAGTACAAATTAAGCAACATAGATTGATCTTAGATGTAGGCACTACATCTCAGCACCTGGAATGGCTGGGCTTGTCTTCACAAGGACCCAGTCAGGGAATGAGTATAGGGTTGTTTCCTTTCTGCCCTAGTTTTAAGCAATCTTAATAGTATAGGCTCATACAGCCTTCTTAGTTCTAGTGTAGACTGTTTGCTCTAAGTGTGGCAGGGTTCTAGTAGGTACTGATGATTTTTGCAAAAAAAAAACTAGATTGTCTAGAACTAATTAGAATATAACAAGATTATCAACAAATATTATTTATAGAGCAATTCAGAATATATATACCTTTAGAATTTTTTTAAAATGGTTATTCCCAACTTGCCAACAGTCCCTAAAAATTTACACATTACCAGTAATGAGTTATGAGGTTGAAAAAAGACTCCTTTTGTTTTTTGAAACAGGAGCACACTCTGTCACCCAGGCTAAAATGCAGTGGCACCATCTTGGCTCCCTGCAACCTCTGCCTCTCAGGTTCAAGTGGTCCTCCTACCTCAGCCTCCCAAGTAGCTAGGACTACATGTGTGCACCACCATGCTTGGATAATTTTTAATTTTTTTTTGTAGAGATGAAGTCTCACTATATTGCCCAGGCTGGTCTCAAACTCCTGGGCTCAAGCAGTCCTCCCGCCTTGGCCTCCCAAAGTGCTGGGATACAGGCGTGAGCCCCCCATGCCTGGCCAAAAAAAAAAAAAAAAAAAAAAACAAACTAAAAAACCTTTTCTAATCTATTAGTAATAAAAATAAGTTTAGTTCAAATATGCTAGAGGAAAGAGAATTTTCTATTCTTCCTATAGAAAATTATATTACAAAATTGTTGTTACATGAAGAGGCAATTCAAGAGTATGCAGCCACAAAACAGAGAAAAGTATTTTGAAAGGCATGTCCAACAGCCAACTAACTATTGCCATGTTTCTGGATTTTGTGGTATTCATGGTACTTTTCAGTTTTTTAAACTTTGTAATTGGTTGTGATGCCTTTTCTCACTCTGAATAAATATATACTTTCAGATCTAAAAAAAAAAGATAAGATAGATTAAAATATGTGTAATATTGCAGGGAGAAAGCAAATAATTACAGGGATAGCATATGTAAACAAATTGGATCAAAAGCAGTATAAATGTATAATAAAGAATATGCTCAGTTGCAGGTTGGAAAACCTAACTTGGACAAAGTTGGACAAAGTTTATTTAGTACTTCAAAAGAGCAGGCAAATTTGGGGTTGTTTGATTTTAAAAGAAACATTTTTAAATTGAATTTGAAAGTGATAAGACACATATTACTTCTATGGATTTGAAATAAGATTTTCTTACGTAATTAATTATATTTGAACTAAGTCTCGTTTTTCTTTTTTTGTTGGTATTTGTTTGTTTACATTGGCACTATTTTATCTTGGTACTACTTTTCAGATTTGAATCATGTTTTCATACTTTGGCTGCCTTGTCTGCTGGTTTTCGTGTGGCTTTGTCTTTTAGAATATCTTGGCTCTATCTTATAAAGAGAGAGACCCTGGGTAGAAGAGTATGATTAAGTCTATCAATATCTTGGTTCATTATTGCCAGATAATGGCAGGAGAAATAGGCTCTGCAACCCAAGCCAGTTAATTTTGCTTTTTGTTAAAAGCTTTATTGAAAGGTCAATTAGGATAATAAGATGAAGGGAAGGTTATCTTTCAATATTAGTTATCAGTGTAAGATCTCTTTTTTTCTCTAGTATTATGGACAAGTTAAGATTGATTCAATATGGGAGAAGCATTTTAAGGCACTGTCAAGGGATGCTAACTACTCTTTGAAGTGCATAGTTTGTAATCATGCAGATAATTCTATTATTTGAACTTGAAAGTAAATTAATCTAAAATTGCAGAATTTTCACATTATCCATGACTCTTCAATTTAGTATGATTTGCTCTAAAATTTTTTGGTTAAATGCTGCATATGCAGATTGGTATTGAAATGTGTACATTTTTAACAACACTCTTTGAACATAAATTATTTAAAAACAATAATGTTGGTAATGTGTGTGCTTCTCTAATTTGAATAATCCCTCTTGATAATTCATCTTTTGAAAATACATTTAATGCCACAGAAAGGGTAATGTAGGAAAGCACCTAATACAATATTGTATTCAACATAGCTATTTAGAAATAGCCTATTGGCAACAAAAAATAATAGGGAATAAATTTTAACATTGGCTTTTTGCAGACATGTAATCTTTGATACTGAATATATACACAATGTTAAATTGTTGCGCGTTGTGTGTCTTCCAAAAAGCATGCTGCATATTTTTCAGTAAGTATGTGCTTATTGGTGTGTGTTTATCTCTTCAGCAAGGTGTTTGGGAAACTTTGCTAGCAGCTCTAGAAGTCCTCATCAGAGCAGATCACCACCAGCAGATGTTTAATATTAAGCAGTTATTGAAAGCTCAAGTGGTTCATCACTTTCTACTGACTTGTCAGGTTTTGCAGGTACTTTTCATGTAACTTTACTTTTGGAAATATATTCCACAGTTGTTTAATAATACTATGAACATCAAATTTTTGTGGCACTTTCAATGGGACTTTTTTTCTTTTTTTTTTCCATCTTCTCTCCAGATTCTCTTCTTTCAAAAAATAGTACAGGAGTTTTTCAACTGCTGCATCTTACAGCTTGATCATCACGCTGTCATAATTCCTAACTCAATTACAAAAGTACAATTACTAAATTTCTTAGATGTTTCTTTATGTTGGGATAGAATAATAGTTTTGTACTGCCTTGAACAGCAAGAATAGTTAATGAATTTTAACTTGTTCCATATTCCTTAAATAAATATTTACAAATATGTATTGCTTTAATAAATATAAACTTGCTAACGGTCTATTTTATATGCTAGAATTAGCATTTTAAACTGTATCCAAAATTTTTATTAAAAAGTGACACTAATTGTATCAGTTACATTGTAATGTCTATGCTGTGGCCCTTTTAGTTAATTTTTTTCTCTGCCTTTATTGATATCATCTAATACCAACCAAACAGATAAAAGGCATTGATAAATATCTGCTTGGTTGGTATATTAGACAATTTTCCAAGTTTTTTTTAATGTCTAAGGCATCGATTAGAACTTTGTCAAGTTAGATAAGTACAGATACTCCATGAGATCAGTAATATTTTATATTTTGAGCGCCTTTGCTTCGGTGGCACTAAGGGCTTTTCATTATAGTTGGGCTAAAATTCAAAATCTGTGACAACATCTGTAAGAAGTGTTAATATGAGAAGGCTTATATGATCTGGCTACCATTCTAGCTTCATCTTATGGTACTCAGCCTCCCTGGATTTCTTTCCCTTCCTTAAACAAGTAAGACTTTTTTCTGTCTCAGAGTACATGGTATTCTTTTTGCTTTAACAATTATTGATCCCATTCTTTTCATCTGGCCAACTCCTACTTATCCTCCACGTGGCAACTTAAGACTTACTTCCTGAGAGATACCTTCCCTGCCCTTTCCATATAAATTAGTCTTTTTCCCTTTATACACTATGTACATACAGTTTGTTAGTTATTTATGGAATTATGGTTTATTTCCCTCTGTAAGCCTCCTGAAAGCAGGGATATGGTTTTTGTTTTGTTTTGTTTTAAATCACACTGTAATGTCAGTACTTGACACACCTGGGCATCTGATAAATATTTGTTAAATGAATGAATTCCAAAAACACAAAAACATTTTATTGCCTTTCTTGGCCCCTGTGGTAAATTAGACTATTGTTGTAGGGAATAGAATATGTCGATTGATCCTTCAGGCCCCTTGCTTACTGAGTGTTTTATGCATCATTTATACATCAGTTTTCCTCAAAATTTTTTCCTTCGCATGTCCATTTTGAAATATATTGGCCAATTTTCATTAAGTTCATATGACAATGTGATATTCTTATTCAGTCTTTGCATGTCAGAAAAGTGGCACTTATAAACTTTGAGATTTCCATATATTTTTTCACTTTTGTATTATTTACAAAAATGCTAGAAAAAATCTAGGTACAAATTTTTTTCTTTACATGTATAGTTCTTTACCCTTGTTTGTTCAAAGAGCCCACTTATCAAATTAACAGCCATTTATTAAACATAGCTTTATGTCAGGTATTGTGGGAAGTTTATAAAGAAATGAACTTAGTCTTTGCCTTTAAGTTACCTCAGAGTGTTTGTGCACTTTAGGAAGATTAATAAATTGGTAGTATATTGGATGTAAGGCAGTTTCATTCATTTGTGAGTACAGCATAAAGAACCTGAACCCTGGTGATTAAAATGGGAGTGTTTAGTAGGGAGCAAATATGGGAGAGATTATAAGGATAGAATTCATAGGACTTGATTCTTTTTAAATGGAGCTTCAGGAGGAGTCAAATATAACATAAAATTTCAAGCCGGGAGACCAGAAAAACAATAATTTCATAAGAAAAAAAAGCAACCTTGTAAGTTTTGTAGTTTTTGTATCTACATTTGAAATTACAGCAGGATATTCAGCAACAGTGAACTGGTAATAGTGAAGCCATCAGGATAGAGAAGCACTCCAAGACAGAGAAACGTAGTGAGAGAATCAGAGGACTGAGGTTTACACCTCAGGAGATACCCATTTTCAGGATGTGAAACCAGAAAAAGGGGCTATTGAAAGAGATACAGAAAGAGTAATTGAAAAGCTAAGAGGAGACTCAGTAAAGTGAAAGCCAGAGGTCGGCAGAGGGGGAAGAACATGTAGAGAAGAAGATGATACCTTGAACCAAATGATATAGAAAGTTCAGAGAAAATGTAGGCAGATAAAGGGCCATTGACTCAGAAATTCTTAATGACTTACAAGATTTCAATAGCATGGATAAGGCAAGAGCCAGATTTCAGGGACTTTGGACAGCATGTGTGGCAGATCATTGAAGGCAGTGAGAACAAATGATTATTAAAAAGTCCAGCAGCAAAAGCAAAGACAGAAACAGAATGTTCATATAAGGTAAAGTTAAGGGATTAAAAAAATAATAAAATAGAATACCAGTGACTATTGATAAAGAGTCAGTGGAGAGGGCAAGATAGAAGTAACCTGGGCTGGACTTGGGAATGAATCACTGATGCTGCAACCAAGAAAGTTAAGAAGATACATGGAGTATGGTTTAGAAGAAATGCAGATGGTTGTAGCAGAAATAGTTCTGAATTGGAAGTCGGGAGATCTATGTTCCTGTCTTAGTCTTTGCCACTTGACAGCTATGAGAACTTGGCAAAGGAGTTTTGTGTTTTCTTCTGTAGACTCAGTGTTCCCTTCTTAAATCTGAGGTAGTCGAACTAAATTGTTTCAAAATTAACATCTACATTTTAAGTACTCCAATTCAGTAATACCCAAGAGTAAATGAAGAGTGGATGTAGAGATATATATTTGGACATATGAAGAGGGAAGATGAGGAATTTTACCTCCCATACCCTTAATCTGGAGGCCAGCTGCTACCCACTGGGGAGATGGAATTGGAGGATATAAGCAATTTATTTATATACAGCTTTATTTTTAGTAATTAGTTGGCATTTTGCCAAGCCTCATTATTCCAGACAGTAAATGGTGCAGTAGAAAGAGTTCAGAGGCCTGAGTTTGAGTTATAATTGTACTACCTACATATTTTATGTGTGGTTTACACTAGTCAAATAACCTCTTTGTGCCTCATATTCTAGAAATGAGGGCTAAAACCTCTCATAGAGCTGTTGTGAAAAAAAGCTTTGTAAACTGGAGCATATTGTATTAGTATAACGAGTTTTGTCCATCAAAAGTTTTCTGTCCTAATCCTATACTAATATTACTAATAGTAGTAGTAGTAAAAGGAGAAGAAAAGATAGTAGCAGTAGTAATAGTAGTGATTGTAGTTTATCACTAACATTTATATGGGGCTTACCTATATGCAAGGCACTATTCTAAGAGTTTATGTTATTTAGTCCTTATAACAACCCTATAAAGTAGCACTAGTATTACTCACATAGACAAAGAAAGTGAAGCATGCAGATGTTAAGTAACTTACCTAAGATCACATGGCTAGTGAGTGGAGAAACCAGAATGCAAACCTAGGAAGTCTGGCTTTTGAGACCACGCTTGTGAGAGTTATATAAGTTTGCCTCAGTTAATTAAGATACATGGGCTAGAATTAAGTTGCCATCTGTGTTAATGAATTTTTAATAACAAGATTGCTTGAATTAGGAAATAACTCAATTTAATGAGTTGTTATGGTAATGGTAAGTATGATCAGACTAGAGTAGTAAACCAACAGAATTCTATCTTAAAAAGAATATTTTGCCTAAATGAAAAATCTTAGTTAAGTTGACAATTCTTTAAATCTAAAGAGAGTTTTTTTTATTTTTTCAGGAATACAAAGAGGGGCAACTCACACCCATGCCCCGAGAGGTTTGTAGATCATTTGTGAAAATTATAGCAGAAGTCCTTGGATCTCCTCCAGATTTGGAATTATTGACAATTATCTTCAATTTCCTTTTAGCAGTTCACCCTCCTACTAATACTTACGTTTGTCACAATCCCACGAACTTCTACTTTTCTTTGCACATAGGTAGGTATAATCATTTTTGTTAGATCATGGCTATTTCCACTTTTGTTTTATTCTTCCCACTTGATTCACATTTGTTTGACATTTGAATGGCCTCTGTGCTGCTCTAATTACATATTGGGGTTGGGATAGGGCAGAGAGTTATAGAATGAACTAGACATGGCCTCTGTCCTCAAGGAGTCTAAATGCCAAGTGGAGAAAGGAGACATAGACTCAAATAACTACAGTAAAAAAAAAAAATGTGTATTTGGTAAGTATCAAAGAGACACAAAAGAAGAACTAATGAGATTTCAGTGGACAGAGGGTTTCATCCGACCACTGTGGAGAGAATATTTAATAGGTTACATGACATCTGATGTAGACATTGAAGATTTTGAGTAGAATTTGATAGGTAGATTGGAGAGTTAGTGTTCCAGGTAAAGACAATGACTTTAAAGGGAGGATAAAAGGAAATAGAAAATAAGGACTAATGAGTTTTACCTATATATAGGGGATCTGTAAAGGAATAGTGAGAAATAATGCCATAAATACAGTTTAAGACCACCATTTACTTATTTTTACCCTAAAGTCATATCAAATGGGTCCTTGAATGTAAGGCCAGAGAATTCGAACTTGTATTCTAGTTATAGGTCATTGAAAGGGTTTTATTTGTTTGTTTTGAGCAAAGGCTATAAGTAAATTATTGCAGTAGAATTCAGGAATAAGGAACTAGGGGCAGTAAGGCCAATTATAGTAGTCCGTGAGAGACAGGATAACAGAATCTGGGCATAGTAACAGTGGAACTGGAAAGGAGGGATAAATTGAGAAGTGGGAAGTTTAGGATGGAATGACTCTGGAGGTGTTAAGGAAAAAGGATAATGGCTTTGGTTGTATAATATATGTTGTATTTGAGGTGCCCTGCAGTTATTTATAATATAATTTTCTAGTAGGCAATTGGGAATGAGGGTTACAGCATGAAGAAGGAAGGGTAGGTTATAAGGAGCTGTCCACATAGAAGTGAGGTGAAGCTCTGAGAACAGATGAGACCACTGAAGAAAAGTAGAGCAAGAGAAGGAAAGAGAAAGCTAAGGAAAGAACTGCTGGTAGTATTACTAGTTGGAGGGTAGGACAAGAATGAAGAATCAGTAAAAGAGAAAGATGGAATAATCAGTTTTTTTTAAGAACCAGGGAAATGTAATGTAAGAAAGAAAGCAAGAATGTACCTACAAGAAAGCTGAGTCATAAATTTACATTGGAAAACTGGTTGTACAATAGCCATTTTAAGAGATGTAGTAAATGGGGCCAGGCACGGTGGCTCACGCCTGTAATCCCAGCACTTTGGGAAGCCGGGGCAGGCAGATTACCTGAGGTCAGGAGTTCAAGACCTGCCTGACCAACATGGCAAAACCCCATCTCTACTAAAAATAAAAAAAAAATTAGCCTGGCATGGTGGCACATGCCTGTAATCCCAGCTACTTGGGAGGCTGAGGCAGGAGAATGGCTTGAACCCGGGAAGCGGTGGTTGCAGTTAGGTGAGAATGTGCCATTGCACTCCAGCCTGGGTGACAAGAGCAAACCTCCATCTCAAAAAAAAAAAAAAAAAAAAAGAAAAGAAAAAAAAAGAAATGTAGTAAATGAATAAAATAAGCAGCAGTAAATGTCCAAATGAAATTAGATAGCATGACTTTGTGGTAGGCTTAGCACATTTCATGGAAAAAGGACTGTGGATAAAGATTCTGAGAGTGGGTTAGTTACAAAGATGGGTAAAATATGGTCCCCTCTCTTAAGACGTTTACAGCCTAGTTGAGGGAAAGAGGATAAAGAAACGATTATATCATGCCACGTGGAAAGCACAGTGATAAGGCAGTCAACATTTTTGTTTTCTGGTAGCATAGAGCATATGAAGACTGAGGGGGATTTCCCAGAGGAAGTGATGCCTGCCCTGAATCTTAAAGGATGAGTAAGAATCAAAGAGAAAAGGGCCTTCCAGGTAAAGGAAACAGCTTGACAGGGAACTAGGAGAAAGTGGTGTTGCTGAAATGTAATTTATGAAACAAGGCTTGGGAGGGACCTAGGGACAAATAGTGGTAATTCTTGTGGACAAGAAGCTTGGGTTTTATCCAAGGTGGTAAGGAGGCATAGAAAGCCACTGGAAGGTTTTAAGCAGGAGTTGACATTCGAGAGAGAGCGAATTCTGGTAGCTGTGAGGATTTGAGAGTAATGAGATGCTCATCAAGGATACCATTTAGAAATCTGTGATAGTAACCCAGTTGAGAGATGATAAAGCCTGCATTATAGCACTATGGTAGGGAAGAGAAGAGGTCAAGAAACAAAAAATGAAGTCATGCTAGGCATGGTGGTTCATGCTGTAATCCCAGCACTTTGAGAGGCCAAGGTGGGTGGATCACTTGAGGCCAGGAGTTCAACTCCAGCCTGGTCAACATAGCGAAACCTCGTCTCTCCTTAAAAAAAAAAGAAAAAAAAAGTTGCTGGGCGTGGTGGCACATGCCTGTAATCCCAGCTACTCGGGAGGCTGAGGCATGAGAATTGCTTGAACCAGGGAGGCAGAGGTTGCAGTGAGCAAAGATCACACCACCATACTCCAGCCTGGGCGACAGAGCAAGACTGTCTCAAAAAAAGGGAAAAAGTCAGTAGAACCTGGTGACTGATTTGCCATGGATAAAGGAAAGGTAGTGGTCAAGGGTAGCTCCAGGTTACCACATGGGAACTTCCCAAAGAACAAAACAGAAGGAGTAAATTTAGGGCAAAAAGATGATTCGGATTTAGATTTGTTGCATTTGTGATTTGTTTAAGAAACCAAGCAGTTGAATTTATAAGTATGAAGCTCAGAAATGATTAGTTTTTACAAATATTAGACACTGAAGGGGATATATAAAAATAAAAGACACAGTCCTTTCCTCAAGGATGAACAATCTCCCTTGAGAGATGATAATAACATATAAAAGTGAATAGTTAAATGTTAAACCATAGAAATAACTATAAGTACAGTTGGAATTAAGAAAATAGAAGTTAATGTGGCCAGAAATAATAAACAACAGCAAAATCTGTACTAAAAAATTGTGAAGAGTAAGTATTCACATATCGTGTGCCTTAATATAAAGTATGCTATATATTTTTCTCTTTAAACATCTTTTTGTCAAAATTTGAATTTAATGATCTGCTTTTAAAGTTATATTTTCGTTTTATCCTTTTTAAAAATTTTGCTGTTTCAAAAAAAATTTGGATTCTAGATGGCAAGATCTTTCAGGAGAAAGTGCGGTCAATCATGTACCTGAGGCATTCCAGCAGTGGAGGAAGGTCCCTTATGAGCCCTGGATTTATGGTAATAAGCCCATCTGGTTTTACTGCTTCACCATATGAAGGTAAAAATAGCAATAATGGAAGTATGACCTTCTCATTTTAGTTCTGAATATTCTTAGATAATTAAATTGTACATATTTTAGAAGTATATGTAGTACAACCTCATTCAATCTAACAAGAGACACCCAGCACAGGTCCTCAAGAGCATTGAGAAAATGGATGAGGCTCATGCTATCTTGTTCTGGCATTCTCTGACTTCTCTTATCATAGTCATTTGTCTTTCATCAAGCTTCTGATTTATTTTACCATTTTCTTCAGAAGCTTTTTAAAAACTTTTATTCTCTTCTGTCTACCTAAAACCATCATTCTGGACAACTTCACTTGCCAGATAAATGGCCACCCAATACTCCAGCTTCACATTTTTTGACTCAGGGTACCTTTTCTCTACTTTGTCTTACCGCTCTGCATGCATCTGTCTTGGACTTTATCATCATCAAGAATGCTTTCAAGCACCTGTGAAACTACAATATCCCGCTTTGTTCTATCCATATGATCTGTTTTTCAATCACATGCATCACTCTGAAACATTTTCAAATACTGTACAATCATGGCTCCATTTCTTTTCCAAGTCTTTTGAACAGAATCTTTTTTTTTTATAATTACACTTTAAGTTTTAGGATACATGTGCACAATGTGCCGGTTTGTTACATATGTATACATATGCCATGTTGGTGTGCTGCACCCATTAACTCGTCATTTAGCATTAGGCATATCTCCTAATGCTATCCCTCCCCCCTCCCCCCACCCGACAACAGGCCCTGGTGTGTGATGTTCCCCTTCCTGTGTCCACGTGTTCTCATTTGAACAGAATCTTTCTGTATCATTAGCCCTCCAGCCAACCAGAGAAACAGAATCCTTTGGGGGAGTTCTGACATGCTGAAAAAAGGCAAAGGGGATGCATTCATCCTCTCTAATTGACAGCCTCCCATCTTTCTGGTTTTTTTTTGTTTTTTTTTTAATCACACTCCAAAGTTCCCCTTGTCTCGCTTTCCCTATCCAGCCTAGGTCACATTAGCCAATAACTTCAGCAGTTACTCAGTTGGAAAGTATCTCAGTTTCCTTGTCCCCTTAGCCTATTGGTATTCTTGAACTGAAAAATGCTAACCTCGCCTCAGTCTAACCATTGTCATACTGCTGAAAGTTGTAGCAGAGCTTTAAAGGCTGCCCTGTAATTTTTAGGTATGTTCAGAATCAATACCCTCTTCTATTTCCATAGTAAGTGTATTCAAGTCTTTAAGCCTACAGTACTTTTCTATCTTCCTAATTGACTCTTAACAGAGTCTCATCGCTACTTTATAGAAGAAAAGAATAGGTGCAGGTTTTCTAGTTGCAAACTGACCATACATCTTTTCCTTTCCTGACTACTGTCCTTTTCCATACTGGGACATTGCTCTTATTGTCAGTCCAACCTAGTCTTGTCTTTAGCTTCAATCCTAATTATTAAATACTGCAGGTGAGATGGTAATAGAGATAGATAGAACTAGATATATAGGTATTAGTCTCTAGTTTTGTTTTCCTGCCAAAGTGTTTCAGTTATTCTCTAGCACTTTTTATGCTCTTTTATAATAATATTTTAAGGCTATGTTTTTATTAGTTTTCCTTTTCTTTTTAAAAAAAATTTTTTTTAAATAAATGAGATAGGGTTTTGCCTTTTTGCCCAGGCTGGTCTTGAACTCTTGGGCTCAAGTGAGCCACCCACCTCTGCCTCCCAAAGTGCTGAGATTACAGGCTCAAGCCACTGCACCTGGCCTTTTTGAATTAGTTTTATTTGGAATTTTACAGGACATATTTGTTTTTTAAATCATCTGTCATGTTGAAACATTTTCAAATACAATCATACCCCCATTTTTTCCAGATCTTTTGAAGAGAATCTTTTGGCAACTTTAGCCCTCTAGCCCAAATCCAGAAATAACTAGAAAAAGATTCTGAGCTATGGAGCTATTTTATTGCCACAGAGTCTATGCTCTAAAGCAGTTCATTTAATGCCTGTTTACTCTGTGTTCATGGTCTCAAATTTTAACCTGCAAAAGAATCACCTGGAGAGCTGTTGACACTGATTCCTGGGCCCCTCTCTCATACATTCTGTATCAGTAGATCTAGGGTGGAGCCTGAGAATGTGAAGTCCCAACAATCCCACAGGTGGTATTGATGCCCATGCTACCAGTCCACAGACCACACCTTGAATGGCATGCACTTGTATCCCATGCACTACAATGAAAATAATTTTTCTGGTGTCTTCCTGCATAGAATATTAGAAGCAGTAAATTAGAGAGCTGTGACAAGAAAAGAAACTATTCTCACTAATAACAGCAAGAAGTGACTGCAAAAATGGAGGAGAGAGAGAACTGTCTAGGGCTGTTTAGGCTAGTAACAACAAGTACTACCATTTTTTGAGCACCTGTTATATGTTGAGCTCTATGCTAGGTGCATCACAAATATAATCTCAATCTTTAAAGCCACCCTGCAAAGTAGATATTCTGAACCCTCATTTTACATTTGTAGAAACTGTAGTACAATTAAGTGATTTACCTTGGACCACTTCACTATCATTTGAATCCAATTATATCTAGTTGCAAAGCCCACACTCTTTCCACTACATCCTGGTAACTGCTAGCCTGAGGTAAATTGAGTTTCACTTAATTCACTTAAATTCAGCACAGTAGAACCATTAATCCTAATGACTTTGAATCATTCAGTCAATACTGTATTTTGTTAAGAAGACAGGAAAAAACATATGTTTTGGGAAGATATTAATAAAAAGTGGTTAAAATAAAAATAGTTTTGGCATTTAAGAATTTTAAGCATTAAGCCAGGTGTGGGGTGCATGCCTATAGTCCCAGCTGCTTGGAGTCTGAGGTGGGAGGCTGTCTTGAGTCCAGGAGTTAGAGGCTGCAGTAAGCTGTGATTGTGTCACTGCACTTCAGTAGGTAAGAGAGCAAGACCCTGTCTCTTAAGAAAAAGTAAAGGAATTTTAAGCATTAGTTACTTGTAAAATTAACCTATATGGATTTTAACAGTGCTAGATAAATGGGCTTTTGCTGTGGTTGTGATTTATAATGCAAAAGAGAGGTGGTTCCACTTAATAGATTTTTAAGTAGTATTTTTGTATCTACTCTTACCAGGAGAGAATTCCTCTAATATTATTCCACAACAGATGGCCGCCCATATGCTGCGTTCTAGAAGCCTACCAGCATTCCCTACTTCTTCACTACTAACGCAATCACAAAAACTGACTGGAAGTTTGGGTTGTAGTATCGACAGGTTACAAAATATTGCAGATACTTATGTTGCCACCCAATCAAAGAAACAAAATTCTTTGGGGAGTTCCGACACACTGAAAAAAGGCAAAGAGGACGCATTCATCAGTAGCTGTGAGTCTGCAAAAACTGTTTGTGAAATGGAAGCTGTCCTCTCAGCCCAGGTCTCTGTCAGTGATGTCCCAAAGGGAGTGCTGGGATTTCCAGTGGTCAAAGCAGATCATAAACAGTTGGGAGCAGAACCCAGGTCAGAAGATGACAGTCCTGGGGATGAGTCCTGCCCACGCCGACCTGATTACCTAAAGGGATTGGCCTCCTTCCAGCGAAGCCACAGCACTATTGCAAGCCTTGGGCTAGCTTTTCCTTCACAGAACGGATCTGCAGCTGTTGGCCGTTGGCCAAGTCTTGTTGATAGAAACACTGATGATTGGGAAAACTTTGCCTATTCTCTTGGTTATGAGCCAAATTACAACCGAACTGCAAGTGCTCACAGGTACTTATGTGTTTTTGTACACTCCTCCCACCTTTATTTTACTATTCTTTAAAGACTCTCTACCCCTCTGGAAACGTCTTCATTATGCCACTTATAATACAACAAACAGAAAAGTTTATTTCTTTATATACATAATAATAACAAACAGAAAGATATATTTTTCCTTATTTTAAGACTAGATAATATTGAATTCCATATTTAACCAAAATCTAAACCATAAGTAGCACTTAAAAAATATATATTGTGGTTTAATTCCTTATAGTTATTAAGGAAAATTCTTCAGGACAGAGAAACGATAGGATTTATCTAGAGCTTTGACTCATGAGAATGATTCTGTCCACTTGGTGCTCATGTGAAGGTGGGAGTGATTTCTAGACTGGGCCTGTCCTGAGTAACATCTTACTTGATCAGAGACAAGTGACGGCTCCAGAAGGGAAGAGGAACAGGTGTCATAGGGTGGCTGCTCCATTCCACTCAGGTAATTATAATGCAGGTCTTAGTGCTGAACATTGGCAGTTCTTCTCTGGATGAAGTCAGAAGAAAGCTAAAATGGCCTCAGAAAGCAATACCAGTGTTTCCCAGGACAGGCTGTCACCAGACTGCACAGAGTCCTCCATGTTATGACAGACATTGCCTAGGCGTTGTATTTCTTCAGCCATTTTCCTTCTGCTACCCCAGTTTGTTCTCTCTCCAGAAACTTAAGGTTCCTCTGTCACCTGGACACAGATGACCTTGCTTTGGTGATGAGATATCCCCCTTATATTTTCCTCTACTTCTGCTATCGCAGACCCATAACTTTATATGGAGCTGAAATGCAGCAGTGCTAGAGAGCATTCCTTTTATGAAAAAAATCTCCTTTCACCAGGAGCTTCCAGAAGTTTCACCTGGGCTAAACCCAGCAGCATTTGTTAGGATATTTAGATGGAGGTTTTATTTTCACACTTGGTTCTTGAGAGGATATTCTGTAATGCTAGATTCTTCCCCTGTACCAATATTTGCCTCTCTTCTCTGTGAGTGAACTGGGTTTTTCTGACATGCCTAGACTCCTAATAAAGCTGTTTCTTCCTTGGTGAAAAAAAAAAAAAAAACATTTCCAATAGCATCTCAAGTAGCAATGTCCAGTGAAACTTTCTGCAATGATGGACATGTTTTATTCATGCTGTCTAATACAGTCAGCACTAGCCACATATGCCTACTGAGCACTTGAAATGTGGCTGATGCAACTGAGGAACTGAATTTTTAGTTTAAATAAATAGCATAAGTGACAGTGACTACTGTATTAGACATCAGAGATGTACAATTGAATAGTGTTAGTAGACTATATGCCCAAAAAAATCAATGATAAAAAGTGATGGTAAATTTGTTAATCACAGTTAAATTAGGAAACATTTCTTAAGCATTATGAACATTTGTTTCACCTGTTAAAAAATGCTACTACTTGTCACAGTTCCTAAGGTAATCATCAAGTACTTTTCTTGTCATGTTAGTAAGACTTTTTTGGTCTCTGTTTTAGTGTAACTGAAGACTGTTTGGTACCTATATGCTGTGGATTATATGAACTCCTAAGTGGGGTTCTTCTTATCCTGCCTGATGTTTTGCTTGAAGATGTGATGGACAAGCTTATTCAAGCAGATACACTTTTGGTCCTCGTTAACCACCCATCACCAGCTATACAACAAGGTGTTATTAAAGTAAGGGCAAATACTAGATATGTTATTTTAATTCAGAAAAATAAATATATATGTAATTTAAAATTTTGAGTATATACATTAAAGTAGACCTAAATCTCTCTTTTATATTTTAGAATAATGAACTAATATAGTTTGTTACTTAATACTCATATATTTTTAAACTTTTTTTATTTTGATAGCTTTAGGGATACAGGGGTTTTTGGTTACATGGTCATATTTTTGCATCATCCAGCTTTAAGTCCCCCTCCATATGTTGGTTCATATCAATATGTCTTTTAAATCTACCAATAAATCCCCATATCTGAACACTTAGTAAATCTCTTTTGTAAAAATTACAAGGAATACGTGGTTCATTGGAAATCTCTTCTTCAGTGTACTATCAAATTTTAGACATTTACTTCAGCTCTCAGCTTAGATGACACCTTTTCAAAAAGACCTTCCCTGATGATCTTATCAAAATAACTTCCCTCTAATCTTACTTATTATTTATTCTATCATAGCATCCTATTTATGTCTTGTAATTATCTTATTAATCTGTGTACTTGTTTTTTAAATTTCTCACAAATATAAGCTCCATGAGGGTGGGCATCTTGTGTAATAGGTACTAAGTATATTATTGAATGAGTAAATGCTTGATATGAATAGTTTCCATTAGAAAACAACCCAATATTAAAATAATCTTGTAAAGATTCTCATTTTTCTTTAGTTTGCTTGGATGTAGGTATTGTTTAATCACTTGCAATACAACCTAGTATTGAGCTCGCATTTCATGTGTAAGTCCCTGAGCTAGTTGCAATATAGTATATAAAGGGAAATAATATAAGCCCCTACATTCAAGAATTTCACAGTCTAGAAGGGAGAGTCTCATACTTAACTAAGTAAAACGTAAGAAATTCTGTGATGAGTACTGCAGTGGCAGTATTAATAGAGAATTGAGCATAGGGGAAACGGAAGGATTCATGGAAAAAGTATATTTTGTGTTATGCTGTAAACTTAGAAAGCTTTTTTAGTAGGGGAATAAATAGATGTGTGTCTGGGGGAAAGGAGTCTATCACTACTGTGAGAGTCATTGAAGGGGAGAAAGAGGTGGAAGGATTAATTTGGTATTACACGTGTTGCATTTAAGATGCTAGAGAAGGGTGGAAATTCAGGCCTGTGCTCAGGATAAATAATCTGTCAAGAAGCCTAGAAGTAGAGGTCTAGGATAGATATAGATACAGATATAGATATAGATATAGATATAGATATAGATATAGATATAGATATAGATATAGATATAGATTTGCAGAGAGAGCATAGTTTACGGATTTTTTCCCTCTCAGCATTAGGTACAAATATTCTATTTATACTCAACTAAGGCTGCCAGTCTACCAGGTGTCCATGCTCAGCTAAAAATGCCAGTTTCCCCATGAGAGAAACATTAAGATCTCCAAGATGGAGTCATCATTAGCATTCCACAGTAGCCAAAGACAAATTCATTTCTGCTTTGCTGTGGTGGTGGCATTTTTTTAAGCTTTCTGTGTTCTTCTGTACATATGAACTTAATTTACAAATACAGTTGTGTTACACTGATTTGTATATATTATATTTAATTTTAATGCATTATCTAAATTGACTTAAATTTTTTGTTTAGCTATTAGATGCATATTTTGCTAGAGCATCTAAGGAACAAAAAGATAAATTTCTGAAGAATCGTGGATTTTCCTTGCTAGCCAACCAGTTGTATCTTCATCGAGGAACTCAAGAATTGTTAGAATGCTTCATCGAAATGTTCTTTGGTCGACATATTGGCCTTGATGAAGAGTAAGTGTGTTCTTCCCTCCACTATAATTGGGAATCTTTTGTCTTTTTTCTTTTCTTTTCTTTTCTTTTCTTTTCTTTTCTTTTCTTTTGAGACGGAGTCTCGCCCTGTTGCCCAGGCTGGAGTGCAATGGTGCAATCTCGGCTCACTGCAACTTCCGCCTCCCAGGTTCAAGCGATTCTCCTGCCTCAACCTCCTGAGTAGCTGGGATTACAGGCACGTACCACCATGCCCGGCTAGTTTTTTGTATCTTTAGTAGAGATGGGGTTTCACCATGTTGGCCAGGCTGGTCTCAAACTCCTGACCTCGTGATCTGCCTGCCTTGGCCTCCCAAAGTGCAGGGATTACAGGTGTGAGCCACTATGCCTGGCTTTTTTTTTTTTTTTTTTTTTTTTTTTTGAGACAATGTCTCACTCTGTCACCCAGGCTGGAGTGCAGAGAGACACAGTCATGCCTCAGCTCATTGCAGCCTTGAACTCCTAGATTCAAGGGATCCTCCTGCCTCAGCCTCTTGAGTAGCTAAGATTACAGGCACGCACCACCACACTTGGCTAATTTTTTTTACTTTTAGTGGAGATGGGTCTTGCAGTGTTTCCCAGGCTGGTCTCAAACTCCTGACCTCAAGCCATCCTCCTGCCTTGGCCTCCCAAAGTGTTGGGATTATAGGTGTGGGCCACCACACCCGGCAAGGTCTTTTGTCTTAAATGTAAAATTTAGTGAACTCACTCTTAACGAAATCTTTTGGTCACCTTTAGAAAAAATCTGCTAAAAGTAATTTTCCAGGTAAATCAATGTATTATTTGCCATATGATGTTCTTTCTAATATAACTTCATCCTTTATAGTTCATTCACTAGTTAGAAACTAGAAACAAATAAAAGCTGCATCAGATGAAAGTGATAGCTAAGATTTGGCAGATAGTATTAACATGAGAAGATTAACTGAAAAGACAGGTGAGGCTGGGCGTGGTGGCTCAAGCCTGTACTCCCAACACTTTGGGAGGCAGAGGCAGGTGGATCACCTGAGGTCAGGAGTTCAAGCCTGACCAACATGATGAAACTGTCTGTACTAAAAATACAAAATTTGCTGGGCGTGGTGGCACATTCATGTAATCCCATCTGCTTGAGAGGCTGAGGCAGGAGAACCGCTTGAACCCAGAAGGCAGAGGTTACAGTGAGCCAGGATTGCACAATTGCACTTCAGCCTGGGCAACAAGAGTGAAACTCCATCTCAAAAAAAAAAAAAAAAAAAAGAAAAGAAAAGAAAAAAAGATAGCTCATGTATTCTCAGTGACAGATTACATAAAGGATCCATATAGGAACGCCTTACTCTCCTCAGAGCCTTCAGGTCATCTGGGAGAGGAGTAAATCCCTCACCTAGAATTCCTGGATACACTGATTGCTGAGTTTTGACCCTGGTAGAATGCTGATGGATTAGCAAATAAGTGTAAAAATAAAAGAATATTTTTCTCCCAAACCAAAAGTTTGGCAGAAATTAAGCTGTAATTTCTGTTTATGATAGAATAGAGAGAAACGTGTGTCTCCTTATTGTGATAGACAAATTCAGACCTTAAAGAATTTACTAAATTGTTATGGTAGTTTCAATGCTACTTTTCATTTACATACAACTTTTGGCTTTCACGAAACAATTGTGCATTACTTTATTTGATTCTCACAATAGCCTTGAGAAGAAAAGAGGACATATATCACCACATATTTTTGACAGATAAGGAAAATGAGGCACAAAATACTTAGCTAATTTCATTCCATCCCAGAGGCAAGTTGTATTGGGATAAGAACTCGAGAATCATTCCCTTTTGCTAGACCTCTTTTTACTAGCTCACTGTCTCTCAAATACTATGTAAAATAATAATAATAATTTTCCTGTGCACTTGAAGCCCCCAAACATAGTTTCTTTGGACATAAAGGGCTCATGGATGAATTAAAATAAATCAGTTAAAACCAAGAAATTGTATGCATATTTCACTTGAATGTTTGTGTATTTATCTTGGGATGGACTTCTAGCAACAGCTTTTACCCTATTATTGGAGGGACTCTGTCATTTTAAAAACAGGTTAAGAATCCTTACTCCCCCAACTTGTTTTTATGACTTCAAAATCAAGTTAGCAAGATGACCCATAGTTGCTATCATATTTTCTTATTTTGTGATTGTTTCTAATGTGCTCTTAACTGTATTATTTATTATAGATTTGATCTGGAAGATGTGAGAAACATGGGATTGTTTCAGAAGTGGTCTGTCATTCCTATTCTGGGACTAATAGAGACCTCTCTATATGACAACATACTCTTGCATAATGCTCTTTTACTTCTTCTCCAAATTTTAAATTCTTGTTCTAAGGTAGCAGATATGTTGCTGGATAATGGTCTACTCTATGTGTTATGTAATACAGTAGCAGCCCTGAATGGATTAGAAAAGAAGTAAGTTTAAAATTATTATTTAAAATTACATCTGATAAATACTTTAGAACAGGAAAACTTTAGTATTAGTTTACTTTACTACATGAGTTTACCTATGTAAGAAGCCTTTCTGTGTACCTCTGAACCTAAAATAAAAGTAAAAAAATAATAATAACAGAAAGAAAGAAAAAAAAAGCAAGAAATTGTATTTACTGAATGTCCCTGTATGCTACTTTATTAACTGGCCCAAGTTAGTTTCTAACCCTTTCTTGATTTGGAAAACCCAGATGGAGAGAAGCATTGTAGGCCTAATATCGTACATTGAGGTAGATTATCAAGATTAAGATTGAAGACCAGAAGTAACTAATTCATATTTATTGGATATTTATAAATAATATAAATGCAAATCTATTACCTCTTTTAGTCCTAAAAATAACCCTAATTTATACAAGTGAGATTCAGAGAGGTTAATTAATTTAGTCAAATTCACCTTCTCTGAAAAGTCTTCGCAGAATGTTCCTGTTCATACCCACACAATCTTCATCCTTAGTGTGGACTAGAAACTGCCTATGTGTTCTTATAGTATCGTGTATTAATCTCTAGTGTTACACTTACAACCATTTACTATTTATAGTAATCTGTTTACTTGTCCAGTTCTCTGTAAAACTATGTATTTCTGACAGGTGTCAAAGTGTATCTTATTTCTATTTCTAGCATACATACTACATATTACTTGCCATAGAATAAGCATGAATAAATACTGAATGACTGCATGAATGAGTGCAAGCTGGTCGAACAGGAATTTAAACCATTTAAATCAGTTAGCTGTGTCTTAAATTATTTGTTCTTTTTCTTATAAATGTTCTGTTTTCTTCTTTTGTTGTTATCTTTAGCATTCCCATGAGTGAATATAAATTGCTTGCTTGTGATATACAGCAACTTTTCATAGCAGTTACAATTCATGCTTGCAGTTCCTCAGGCTCACAATATTTTAGGGTTATTGAAGACCTTATTGTAATGCTTGGATATCTTCAAAATAGCAAAAACAAGAGGACACAAAGTAAGATTTAATTTTTATGAATTTGGGGAGGGAGTTGTATAACAGACAAACCTGTTATTTGAGCACAATCTCTTTCTTCTTAGAAACTCTTTTACTAAAAGTTTAACATTAATTTTGTAATAGTATCTATCAGTTTTTAAAAAGAAGCCTAAAAAGGCTTGAAAAAGTGGCAAAAATAGAAAAAGTGATTCCCCCATGTAGTTAGTAGTTGGCAATACATAAGTGAAAGATGTCACTGATTTTTCTTACCAAGTAGAATTTAAAAGTGTATGTTGCATAGTAATACCCTTTAGTTTTCTTTAATGGTAATTATTAAAGTGAATATGAAACAAAAAATATGATAATTGCCGGTTAAACTTTTGCCTTATATAGAAAAAAAGCCTGTTCTTTGAAACAATTTTTAAAATGAAATAAATTTATGAGCTAATATTTTTCCATTGAAGGTTTTTTAGTGACCATTTGTAAATTTGCTTTAAAATTGCTTTTAACAAGAATTTAAAAATGTCTACTACCATCATCCCCATGCTGATCAAAATTTAAAAATTTATATCAAAACATTATTGTCATGATACATAAAATCAGTTCAATTAAAAAATTAGTAACCACATAGCTTGAAAACATTCTAGTATCTTCTGTTTTTAGATATGGCTGTTGCACTACAGCTTAGAGTTCTCCAGGCTGCTATGGAATTTATAAGGACCACCGCAAATCATGACTCTGAAAACCTCACAGATTCACTCCAGTCACCTTCTGCTCCCCATCATGCAGTAGTTCAAAAGCGGAAAAGCATTGCTGGCGAGTATTGAAATCATATTTTAATAACCATAAATTGAGGCTAGCTTGACTTTCCTATGTTCTTATGCCATTCACACTTTTAAAATATTTCTTGTTTTACATAAAATTTAAGAAAGATTTTTTCCTGAAGGAAACTATTCTGCTCCTTACTTTTAGTGCTTTTCTCATTCAGTTATTTCTTGAGCACCTGCCTACCATGTGCTGAGCATTGTGCTAAATATTGGAGATACAATGATGAAAAAAACAGACACAGATTCTGCCCCTGCAGAGATTGTAAAATAGTAGGGAAATGTAGAGGGTAGGAATAGAGATTATAACAGGGCAATCTACATCAGGAGTTAGGGAAGTCTCTGAGAAAGGTGTCCAGCAATCATGTTGTGGCATGCAGGAAGCTGAGCATTAATGCTAGAACTGATAAAGAATCTGTTTCTACTCAGGACAAAAGAGATGTACAACTGGGAGGGCAGCTAAAGAAGAAACAGTGCATTCAGATATTAAATAAGGAAGAATGTCATCAAATAATAAACATTAATATTGTTAGTCTTCCTTATTTTTTCTACAAAATCTGCTATCATCTTTACCCAGAAAGATAACATGAACACCACATACACAGGATATACACACATACATATATATACATAGTGGATAAATATGCATGTACACATGCACACACACACACCATCTCCAGAGTATTTGGTAAATTGTTTGAAATTTAATCACTCTTACTGTCTTAAATTCACTTAAGTTCAAATCTTTCTTTCACCCGTGTTAAGCTACTTCTGTGTTCAATGCTATGCAAAAATTTTAAACCATGTGAAAAACTCACTTGTAAAGAAAAGCTACCAAGTACCCATTGTTTTGCAGTAGTATGTTTAAATTATGCTAAATCAAACTTATATAAATAAAACTTCTAAAACATCTATGTAACTAAACTTACTGCCCTCTACATTCTTCCTTATTTAATATCTGAATGCACTGTCTCTTCTTGAGCTGCCCTCCCAGTTGTACATCTCTTTTGTCCTGAGTAGAAACAGATTCTTTATCAGTTCTAGCATTAGTGCTCAGCTTCCTGCATGCCAAAACATGATTGCTGGACACCTTTCCTTTGCAGGACTCCTTATGTAGTCAGTGACTGCTTAGATGGAATTTGCCCTCTCTTGATATCAGAAAGTATACCTTTACTACCCCTGCTGTTTCTTTTGTATTGATACTTCTCATTCTCACATCTGTTCCTCCTCTGCTTCCATCTCTAGATCTCTGGTTTTAGTTAATTATCACCTTGTGCCTGGGCTAACACAATAGTCCTCTTGCTATTTCCCATTTGGTCAATGATTTCTCTAGCAGTCTTTAGTCTCTCTCTTTAGATACTAGCATTTTGTCACCTTGAGCCTTAGAGCCCTACGTAACTTCAAGTTTATTATTTTTTTTTAGTTTGAGTCATTTTAAAACAGATAATGAACTTTTAGTCTTTTCACTAGATGGCTGTCCTTTTTTCTGACTTCTGTAGCTGCTTATTATACTTGGACTTGTCTTTTTCACTCTAAGTAAATGTGATTGCTGCAAGCTATAGGAGACTTACAGAATCCTACAAGTTTTTAGCTTAATAAAAGACCTTAAAAGTCATCCAGTCCAGCTTCCTCATCTTAAGACCCACTGCATCCTAGAACTGGGGACTGCTGGCACATGCACCCCTATACTCACCCCTTTGTGTCCTGCACCACATCTACTCATCCCAGGTCTATGGTATCTCTTAGGACCCATCTCTCTCTCTCTCTGAAGTCTCTCTCAAGAATCCTTCCTGTTTTAAGTACTACCCTTATTGAAATTCTGTCTTTGTGAATCTAGTTTGCAAAATACCACTTTATATGTGTTCGGTTGTTGCTTTCTAATTGTTTCTAAGTTGTTTTTTTACACATATACTTGGAGAAGATTGTGCTTTTTATTTCTCCACTATTACTTAAAAGTATCTTCAAAAGTATATTGGCTTTGTATGCTACAGGTACAAAAACTGCAGAATACTGAAGCTCTTCTGTTTCTGAGCAGTGTGGTTACAAAAACTAATTCAAGTCCATTTGTCCATGATACTAAAGGGACATAGAGGGATTTCTATTTCTGTCATGTCTATCAATTAGGTAATGAATTGTTCCTTCAAAGACTCAAGCCGTTCTCTTTACTGATAAATGTTTAGGTGTGGTAGGGGGGATTCCTAAATAGATTCATTTAGCATTTGTTGAAAACTACTGAGATGAGTGACACCTCCAGCCCCACTGCCACTACCCTTCACCTTCAGCAGGAGTTGTGGGGACTGCCAGCAGCTGCAGCTTGCATTATGGCCACACACCAGACTCTGATAATAGACAAATTTACTCAAGCCCTGAACCCCAGGATATCCATGACTTGGAACCAAAGTTTCTTCAGCAGTACCGTCATTACATCTAGACCTTAAGTTCTTGCATTGCTAGAGGAGTTAGATACCATTTTATTGTCAGATTAATCTTACAACCTCATTCAGGTTTACCATTCTTCTGCTCAGCAGTTCCAAGTTGCCTGCTGCCCAGTGAACAAAGCTCTGACTCCTTAACCTCTATATCTGTTTTTGGTCTGGATATCTATATCTATACATATCTTTATATGTAATTTTACCTAAATGGTATCATGCTCTACCTACTGTTTATAAATTGATTTCTATTTCTGGTCATTATAGATATTTTTCCATATTAAGAAACATAAATATTCTTTTATTTTTAATGATTACAAAATAATCTATTATTTTGATGTGGATAATCTTCTGTAACTTTTATAGATAAACAAAGGTTTTTTTGCTTGGTTTTTGCTATTATAAATAAGGTAGCAATATATACTTTTAAATGTATTTTTTTACTTGTCTGCTTATTAGTATGAAAAACTTTACACATCACCCTTAATGCATGAAGGTAGAAGTAGTCAGCATTAGGATATTATTTAGAATGCTAGACATATATTTAAATTGCCATGCACTCGCACATACACACAGTTAAATTAGTAATTCACATACAAATGAACTTTATATTTCAGCCAATAATAATACTAACCATTAAAAGTATTTTATTATTTGTGAGAATGAGACAGGCATTATGTTTTATATTCATTATTTTATTTTATCAACAAAACAACTCTTTCTTTATCCGTTTATTCAGCCCTCAAACATCAAATATTTCTTGAGTACCAACCATGTACCAGTTGCTATTTTATCAGTCTTCATGGAACTTGTACTGGGGAAAATGATCAATAAGCATATAAACAAATATATTTAATATAATGTTAGATAGTGATAAATATCTACCGGTGAAGTAAGCTCTGTTTTCTTTCTAATCCACATCTTATGCATGAGAAAACTGAGGTTTAGAAAGAAATGTGCTTAAGGCCACACTAGCTCTGTGTGGCTTCATAGCAGGAGTGCTGAAATACCCTCCCACGTTTTCTAGTATTAATACCTAGTACTAAAGAAGACTTACTTAACATTTCCTTATTCAGTGTATTATCATACCGCTGAATTACAATCATCAGCTGCACGTACAGCATGAAAGCTGTCAGATGTAGACATTAGGAAGAATCTGCTTAAACTAAGTATATTGTTTGACAGTAAAACTCTTGAATATATACAGGATATGAATTTTTGTATTTTCTTTTTTTTTTGCCTCAAAAGTGACTATCAAAATACATTAACTGATTAAGAATACTAATTACCCAAAATACTGAGCAATCTAAAATAGCATTAAAATATTTAAATATCTTACAGGATAAGTCTTTAAAACCTGTTATAATTTAGTCATATGTAAGTAATTTTTGTAGAGGTTATTTATAGAAATTGATATATGTTTTCATAATTTAAAACAAAGGTTCAATTCCAATGAAGGGTTCCATTATTCCTCATCTACCAAGACATCATTTTGGTTCCTATGGTCAACTTCCGATGCCCTTCTCCTTCGGTCCATTAAATCAAGACTCATCCCCCCAGTTTTCTCCTGGATGCACTACCTGTGTTGTACCTCCTGGAGCAGGTGCAGTAATGGTGCAGGAATGCCACTCCTCTCTGTTCAGTCTGAGGAAACCTTTCTCAGGAAATGCTTTTGTAGCATTGAATTCCAAATGATGCATATGTTTTAAATCATTTTAATAACAAATCACTGGAATTATATTCACCTTCCTGATCTCTTCACTTTCATTGACTGATTTCTACTTTGTCACTATACACAGTTTTTAAAACTACTTTATGAAATTCAACAACAGTAATTACCCAGAAATAGTAGTATTCTTACTAAAAAATTATGTGCATTAAAACTTGATTTTGGAATACAAAGAAGTGAAACAGTATTTGAAACTATTTTATCAAAATGTTCTGAACTATTTGAGCCCATTTAATACTTTTTAACTCGAACTTTGCCAAATGACATCTGTTTTACTAAGCTGTGTCACTAGCTTCAACATTGTTATTTAGGACTTTGAAACCAAAAGTACTGTTGCACTTCTTCAAAGAGGGAGAAGCATCATTTTCTCTTAATCACTCTTTCCTTTCTATAAATTGACTTTGTAGTAAATAAGGTTGTTTTCATGGTCTGGTAATCAAAAAATTTCAGCAAAAATAGTTTCCTTGATCCTTATTAACACTGGGATTTGATGTTTTAATTTATATACTTTTAAAGGTCCTCGAAAATTTCCCCTTGCTCAAACTGAATCGCTTCTGATGAAAATGCGTTCAGTGGCAAATGATGAGCTTCATGTGATGATGCAACGGAGAATGAGCCAAGAGAACCCTAGCCAAGCAACTGAAACGGAACTTGCGCAGAGACTACAGAGGCTCACTGTTTTAGCAGTCAACAGGATTATTTATCAAGGTAAGACTATAGGATTAGTTTGTTTTTCCTCAGATTTTAAAATGAAAGAGAAGTAATCTAAGAGGAAACTGGTTGGTTTTCAGATGTTTAAGCAGCATTATTTTTCAGTTCTTAACATCCATAGTATTAAGAGTTTCTTATTTGGAACTGATAAGTCTTGAATAAAAGTCCACTTTGAATGTGTTCGATGCTAGCCCAGACTGACCAGTTTAAAACCATATGGCACTTCCAGTATGATCTTTTGAGATCGTTGTAGATTCACATGCAGTTAAGGAATAATACAGAGAGAGACCCTGTGTACCCTTTACCCAGTTTCCCCCATGAATCTTGCAGAACTGTAGTATAATATCATCACCAGGTGAGTAACATCGATACAGTCAGCAGCATTTCCAGCACCACAAGGATCTCTCATATTGCCCTTCTCTTAGCCACACCCACTTTCCTCTCACCCCCAGCCACTCAGCCCTGTAACTGCTAATCTGTCCTCCATTTGTATATTTTTGTTTCATCAAGAATGTTATATAAATGGAAGCGTACAGTATGTAGCCTTTTGGAATTAGTTTTTTCACTCAGTGTAATACTCTGGAGAGTCATTCTGGTTGTTGCATATATCAATAGTTCCTTTTTTTCTTGCTGAGTGATATTTGTGGTATGGATGTATGAATCTGGGTTGTTTCCAGTTTTTGGCTATTACAAATAAAGCTTCTGTAAGCATTTATGTGCAGGTTTTGTAAGAATATAAGTCTTTATTTTTCTGGGGTAAGTGCCCAGGAGTGCAGTTACTGGGTCATACGGTAATTACATGTGTAGTTTTTTAAGAAACTGCCAAACTTTTCCAGAGTGGCTGTAGTTTTACATTTCCATCAACAGTGTATGAGTGGTCCAAGTTTTTTTACATCCTTACCTAGTGTTTGTTGTTGTCACTATTTTTTATTTTAGCCATTCTGACAGATGTGTAGTGATATCTCATTGTGGTTTTAATTTGCATTTCCATATTGGCTAATGAATATATATGTACAAACTTAAAATGTAATACTTAGAGCACCCACTAAAAAAAGCTATTCAAAGAAATACACTCCAAAGCACTATAAATCATGTTCTCATCACACATAAAAAAAAGTGGTAACTATGTGAGGTGATAGATATGTTAACTAGCTTGATTATGGTGATTATTTGACAATGTATTCATATATCAAAACACCTTAATTATATACAATTTCTATTTGTCAATTATATTCCAATAAAGCTGAAGATTGTTTTTTAAAAAACACTATAGATAAGTCAAAATGGAATTCTAAAAAAATGTTCAGGTAACCCGAGGAAGACAGGAAAAAGAAAACAGTAATTGTTAATGACTAGAAAAACATGATAAACTCAAGTTATTATTATTTTTTTAGCTTTTTTTACTTTTCTTTCTCTCTTTTTTTTTTTCTTTTTTTTTTTGAGATGGGTTCTCACTCTGTCACCAAGGCTAGTGGTATGATCTCAGCTCACTGCAACCTTTACCTCCTGGGCTCAAGCAATCCTCCCATCTCAGCCTCCTGAGTAGCTGTGACTACAGGTGTGCACCCCATGCCCGGCTAATTTTTGTATTTTTTTGTAGAGATGGGGTTCCACCATGTTGCCCAGGCTGATCTCAAACTCCTTGACTCAGGTGATCTGTGTGCTTTCACCTCCCACAGTGCTGGGATTACAGGCATGAGCCATCGTCCCCAGCATTTTTTTTTTTCCACTTTTCTAATATACATTCTGTGCAACAGACTCCCAGACTAAACTCTGAAATTGAACCATGATTATCACATATACAGCACGTAAATGTATAGCACATGCAGAGAAACAGCTCTGTAGATCCACTCATGTAAATATGACATGATCTTTATGTTTGATTTGTATAATAATCTTATGGTTTTAGTCATTTTGCAGTTTAACTTACCTTCATTAGTCCATTAAATATTTAATTTGGAATTGTATGACATGCATTTTCAAATTTCTGTTATTTTACGTAAATTCACTTTCTACTACATTGTATCTATTACATCTAATACACCTGATACACATTTAAATTGTGATAACTGAATTAGTAATTAAATACAATATTTTTTACCAGTATTATTACTATTTATAATGGCAAGATAGCAGTGATATGACTAATTTTGTATTCTTTTTTTCAATTCAAAGAATTTAATTCAGACATTATTGACATTTTGAGAACTCCAGAAAATGTAACTCAAAGCAAGACCTCAGTTTTCCAGACCGAAATTTCTGAGGAAAATATTCATCATGAACAGTCTTCTGTTTTCAATCCATTTCAGAAAGAAATTTTTACATATCTGGTAGAAGGATTCAAAGTATCTATTGTAAGTAAATTAATTACATGGGAAATGTTCATTCACACAAAGGAAATAGAGGTTTTATGTTGACTGTATTATACGTTTTCAAAATCATATTTCTTTGTGCTCTTTCAGAGAGCTTTTTAAAACTCGGACAACTTGAATTTTTAATTATAGAATAATATATATTGCTAATTCACCTTTCCAAAATGACTCAACTCATGAAGCATTGCTTTTTAAGCCTGTAACCCTAGAAGACATTTTCTAGTGTTGTTTAGTAAGATCAGCATCAGAAAAGAGTAGATCATCATCATTGATGACTACTATGGGAGTTTACATGAACTATTTCTTTTTAAAGGACTGTATTTATGGCTACTTACTCTCATTTTTCTAATTATTATGAATTTTAGATCTTGGCCTAAGTTTAACACCTTTAAAATTATGTAGAGAATACTGATAAGTGTCAGGGTTCATTTATCATCATCTCACTTGGGTTTCTGCGGGTCACTTACAGTTGACACAACGGAACAAATCGGTCAGTTTACTCTATAGATAGCAAAAGCCAATCTAATTCTAGCAGAACTCGTAAATCATGACATGTCAATCTCTAAATCTAAACTAGATTTTGGTGTTTTAGCTCTGAACAGCAAAACCAAGTACAGATTCACTTAGAACTCAGTCACTCAAACAGGGCCCTTAGGACTAGATGTAATTAGAGAGGAGCTGTTTTTAAAACTCAGAATGAATTCTGAATGTACTGCTTCCAGTTTTGAACCAGATACAGGTGATTTGATCAGCATTTGGCTAGGCTTAGTGGGACCATAGTTAAAACAATTGGTTAATTGTTAGGGAATACTCTATGGTAAACCCATAGAGTAGTTTCCCCTTATCTTCAGAGGATACATTCCAGGACCCCTGGTGAATGCCTGAAACCACAGATGGTACTGAAACCTGTATATACTATTTTTTTTCACATACATACATACCTATGATAAAGTCTAATTTATGAATTAAGCATAGTAAGAGATTAACAATAATAGTAAAACAAGAGTTATAACAATATACTTTAATAAAAGTTACGTAAATGTAGTCTCTCCCTTTTTACAATGAGTAAATACCTTATTATACGGTACTTAACTATTTTCAGACCATGGTTGACTGTGGAAAGCAAAACCACAGGTAAGGGGGTACTGCTATATGCAGTGCTTAATTTGTGACTATTATACTCAATAATGTAGCACAATTCAAGTCTTTATTATGAATCCTTTCTCTTTTTTATTGCAAAATCAGTGTAGGCTTATTTATCATTGTTCTTTGATGCTTTTTTTTAATTTATAATTTTTGAGCCTTTGGTAATTTTTTCATGGCTTAGGACTTTAGCTTCGTTGTCCATGTCTTCTTTTAAACTGTGGTAAGATATATATATATATATATAACATAAAATTTACCATTTTAACCATTTTTAAGGATACATTCAGTGGCACTAAGTATATTCACATTGTTGTGCAACCATTGCCACCATCCATCTCTAGGAACTTTTTTTTTTTTTCTGAGATGGAGTCTCAGTCTGTCTCCCCAGCTGGAGTGCAGTGGCCCAGTCTCAACTCACTGCAGCCTCCACCTCCCAGGTTCAAGCGATTCTCCTACCTCACCTTCCCAAGTAGCTGGGATTACAGGCACCCACCACCACACCCAGCCAATTTTCGTATTTTTAGTAGAGACAGCGTTTCACCATGTTGTCCAGGTTGGTCTTGAACTCCTGACCTCAGGTGATCCACCTGCCTCGGCCTCCCAAAGTGCTGGAATTACACGTGTGAGCCACCACACCCGGCCGGAACTTTTTAATTATCCCAAATGAAACTCCGTGCCCAATAAATAATAACTTTTACCACCCCTTCCCCCATTACCCAGTAATCACTATTCTACTTTCTGTCTCTGTGAGTTTGACTGTTCTAGATATCTCATACAAATAGAAGCATACAATATTTGTCCTTTTATATATGGCTTATTTTATTTAGCATAATGTCCTCAAGGGTCATCCATGTTGTAGCATGTGTCAGAATTTCCTTCCTCTTTAAGGATGAATAATATTCCATTGTATGTATATACCACATTTTGTTTATCTGTTCATCCACTGATGGACGTTCAGACTGTTTCCACCTTTTGGCTATTTTGAGTGATGCTGCTATGAATGTTGTATGCCCATCTCTTTTAAACTCCTATGTGTATGGATATGTATATCTCTTTCTAATTTTGACTATTAAAACCAATCTGGAATAAAACGTGTTCCATAATCTTCTTTAGGGCTGTGTTGAGGCTAGCATGGTATTGCTTAAGCAGTCTGATCCTAATTCATTCCTATCTTGATTGATTTTAGGGTTCAAGTAAAGCCAGTGGTTCCAAGCAGCAATGGACTAAAATTCTGTGGTCTTGTAAGGAGACCTTCCGAATGCAGCTTGGGAGACTACTAGTGCATATTTTGTCGCCAGCCCACGCTGCACAAGAGAGAAAGCAAATTTTTGAAATAGTTCATGAACCAAATCATCAGGAAATACTACGAGACTGTCTCAGCCCATCCCTACAAGTAAGTATCTCAGCTTTGATAAGAGAAGTAAAACGTTTGGTGAAATACAAAGTCTGAATAAAACAAGAACTGAAATTAAACTGAATGTTCATGCCTAATTTATAAATATAATTTTCTTACCAAGCAAATTTAACCTAAGGTCTTTCTCAGGTGCTTTCACACAGGCTCAATTTAACCTCTGTGTTTATTTCCCAATCTTTTTTCTAGTGCCTAAATTAAGAAGTTCTGTTTCAGAGTTTCTGTCAGAAACTTTGTAATGTGTTAACACATCTTGAAGTGTTTTATTTAAGGATTGTTTGGAGGCTTTTTAAAAAAGCATTATATTACCTGTGAAACATCTATATTGAATAGCTCAAACAACAGTATATATAACATATCTCAAAAATATATGTGGTCAGTTAAAATAGATAAAAATTATTAATCATTTGGAATAATCAAACCCAAAATACCTAAAAGAATTTCAGAGTGTATAAAGTTTATCACTTCAAGAGTGGTAGTTGGAAAGTTTAAAAGGTACATTAAACCATATTGGAGGGCTGTTTAACAGTTTCTTAAAAAATTAAACATATATTTAACTTGTCACCATGTTACTCCATTTTTAGATATTTACCTGAAAAAGAAATTAAAACATATGTTCATAAAAAAGCTTGTTTAAGAATATCTATGTCAGCCTTTTTCATAATGGCCAAAAACTACAAATATTCAAATGCTTATCAACAGAAGAATGTACAAACACATTGTGATTTCTTTATACCTGTAGAGAGAAATCTGTATAGACTATTCTACAGCACCATATAGACTATTATACAGCTCTAAAAAGGAACAGACTACTGGTACATCTACCATTATGGATGAATCTCAGAAACATTGAGTGGGGAAAGGGACAGCCAAACACAAAGGAGTACAATCTGTGATTCTATTCATCTGAAGGAACAAGCAAAACCAAGATATGACGATAGAATTCAGGACAGTAGTTGTCTCTGTGGAAGGGGGACGGTGAGAAAGGGAATTGACTGGAAAGAGGTTTAAGGGAACTTTCTGGGGTGATAAAAATAAGGTCTTATTTTGAGTAGTGGTTAAATGGATGTATGCAATTGTCAAAACTCATAGAAACACTTAATATATCTATGCTTTATTATATGTAAGTTATACCTCAATAGAGATGAGAGAGGATATATTAAAAAGGATAGGTATCCCCTTTAATACATGGAAAACACATATCATATTAGGAGTCAAAACTATCTGGAAGGAATACTTTTAGGTGCTTTTTCCAGTATTAAGACACTTTCAAGTACACTGAGGGCACTGTCTTCCTTTTCCCAAGACAGAAGCATATTTAGCCTGTATTTTCCTTCTGTGGAGAATTTGAAATGGTGTTTTTTTCTTTCCTTTATACTCAGCAAAGTTGCTATCCATCAAAATTCAACTGCGGTGTTAACAGTCCACTTTTTCTCATACCATCTTCCCTTTCCCACTACTTCGTGTCTGTCAGTGGTATCATTATTGAATTTCAGCTTGAAATTTTTAACTGTGGTTGTCGTTGACTTTTTCTTCTCTTTCTCAATCCATTTCGTCACCAAGGCCAGTTGTTTATTCACCCACGAAGACTGAGGATATTATCTTTAACCTAATAGTTTTAGCAGCCACTGATGATAATTGCCAAGATCCACTTTTTCATTAAAGAGTTACAAAATAGTGATTTCTCTAAGTCTCTCATTCCATCAGCATCTATAAGCTCTGACTTTACTATAGGGAAGAACTTTCCCTTGTCAACTATTTGACTACGTTTTTTTTTTTTTCTATTTTTTTTTTTCACTGTTCAAGGTTTATTGTGGGTTTTAGTTAGTATGACACTTGGATAGTTGGTTGCATTGTTTATATGTAGATCTCTTTACATAATATGGTAATGTACACTACTGATATATATAGTTCACAAAATAAGATCCTTTGGAACAATTATGCACCATACATGCAATATTGGATTTATATACTGGATCCAGGATGTGACTGATTGGGAAAAAATGTTGGACTAGACATGTTCAATGAAGGAGCCAGGAAGTTATTTATATAACACACGGTAAACATCCATCTGGCTCAAGGGCCAACTGCAGCATGTGCAGCATTGGCAGTGGTGCCTTAGAGGTGTCAGAACTATTTCACACAAACCAGTTTAGGACTACACAAGATTAGTACCATCCAGCCTACAGAATGGTACTACAAGTTATAGCTACCTACAGGATATAGTACCTACAGAATATACTGTAGGATTTTACAAACCATTCCTATTTCTAACCTTAGGAATTGATGTTTTTCCCAATCCATCTTAACATCACTGCTTTAATCACAGATCAGATAAAAAGGACAATATGCACAACCTCCAACTAAAATCCTATTGTAGCCTAGACAGTGAAATAGTATGACATCAGAAGACTTTAAAATTGCAGCTCTTTTTGTATCCCCCAAAGTGGATCTGCACTGTTCTTCAAATGGGCCCCTTCCTCAGGAGTCAGAGTCACCTTCACACGGTCTGAGATTCCATTCTCTCCCAAGATGCAAGGAATGCTAAGGAAGACATCATCCTTTATTCCACCAATCATGGTGGAAATTGGGTGCACCCGCCTAAGATTCTTCATTATACTTTCTGCCAAATCTGCCACAGAGAGTCCAATGGCCCAGGATGTGTAGCCTTTGAGTTTGATCACCTCGTAAGCACTCTCAACCACCTGCTTGTGAACCTCTTTCCACTGTTCCTTATCTATGTCAGTCCCTAAATCTGGGTGCAGAGTCTTGAGGGAGACACCAGTAACATTTGCTTTACTCCATACAGGCACACTAGAATCTCCATGTTCCCCAAGGACTCACCCATGACAGCTTAATGTGTGAACTCCCAGCCTTTCCCCCATTGGGTAACGGAATTGGGCTGAGTCCAGATTGCAACCACTTCCAATAACATGGTTTTTGGGAAAGCCATTATCTTCCAAGCCACTATAGGTCAAAGATATCCACTGGATTTGAAACAATAAGCAACTTGCAGTTCGGGCTGTATTTTACAACATTAGGAATGATGAATTTAAAGATGTTCACATTACACTGGACCAAATTAAGATGGCTTTCTCCCTCTTGCGATGTGCCTCAGCCGTGATAGTGACCAGCTTGGAGTTTACAGTTACAGTATAGTCTTTGCCAGAGACAATCTTTGGTGTTCTAAGGAAAAGGCTGCCATGGTGGAGATCCATCATCTCGCCCTTCAATTTGTCTTCCATGACATCAACAAGAGCAAGTTCGCCTGCCAAGTCCTTCATTAAGATACCGATGGCACAGGCCATGCCAAGAGCACCAACCCCAACAACTGTAATCTTATTCTGGAGGATCTGTTCTTCCTTTAGAAGACTGTGAATAAGCTGATCCTTGAGCGTATACTTGAGAGTATATTGGACTTGGAAACAAAAGGAATCGAGAATGCACGTCCGGCGGGTGTTGGGGCACGCGGCAGTGAGATCCAGACTCGTCGGCAGCGGCTCCAGCACCTTCGCTACCTTTAAATACAGTCAGTCAAGGAAAAGCAGGATAAATGCTGTTTCCTTCCCTGTTTATTAATTTTTGGAATGATGAATTCATGCCCCTAGTAGCCTCTAATTCTTGTATTTGTTTTTATTTTTGGAGTGTCATTAGGAGCTCAGGTATTTTAAAATAAATGTTATGTGTTTTAGTCTATTGCAGTCATTATTCAGTTTGATATTAAAATTAACACCTCTGTAGATTCAAGTTGTTGTGTCGACATGGCCTTTTTCATTTTAACAAGTTAATATGATTAAACTTCCTTGTTTTCTGGCACAGAAGAATGTCCCAGGCCCACCTTATGCAATTCCTTCCCCAAACCTAGAACCTAACTTCCCTCCCAAGAAGACCTTATATCCTTTTAAGGAGATGATAGTATTTAGAGACTACAAATCTAAGGACTAGGTATGTTTATTTCTCCTGGGTTGTCATTTCTTCTCAGCCTTTTTTAGTGGACAAAGCTAGGAAATAAGTATTTTTTTAGAAAGACAAGTCATGAGTTTATACTTTCACTTTTTCTTGGATTCTTTTATTTGTATTTCTTACTAATGTTGATATCTTGGTTCCTAACATTAACATAATCACTTATTTGCCTTGTCTTTCTACATATATAACATTTTCAAAATAAGATGATCAACATGATCACTAATAACAATCCTGCTGAGTGCAGTTGAAGATGTCTTTGTGGTTCTTTTTTTCTTAGCATACTATTATGGTTATACAGTGAAAATACTGTATTATAAAAGCACTTAAAATAGTTTTCTTTATTTGGTCAGGCTGCCAACTTCAACCAATTAGATAGGTAGGTAGGCTTTTTTTTCCAGTTTGTTTTATAGTTTTTTGGGATTCCTTTGGGTTTTTGTTTGTTTGCTTAATTTTGTTTTTAATCATGTGAAATGTCTACATGGTTCTAAAAGCAACGTTGTGAAACAGCACATTCAGAGAGGTTCTAGCTTTTATCCCTTTCCGCTCCTCTTATTTTTTCCCTCTCTGTGTAGGTAACTGACTTTTTTTTTCTGTTGAAGATACAAGCAAATCTATGTATACATGTATTTACACATGTAAATATTCTGTCCCCTACTTCATAACACAAAGAAAGATAGCAAAGTATACACACTCTTCTGCACCTTACTTTCTTCACTTAGTATATCCTAGAGATCATTATTACATAGTAGTACAGAGTGATCTTCTTTATGCCTTTTCACAGCTGCATACATTTAATTTGTATTTCATTTGGAATGTGCCTGGATTTTTTAAGCCCCAGACTTCTTTGCCATTACAACTTGATTCTGATTAACTCTCCAGCCTGCTGACCCTCTTCTTTTCAAGATAATCATATCTTTGTGTCTTGCAACCTCTTCACATCCTGTTTATTTTTACAGTCATGCTGTTTTATTCATATTGTCCACCAGCACAGAACACCTCTCTCTCCTTTGTCTATCTATATCCTCATTCTATCCATTCATTTGGCCATGACCCAGATCACTCTATACCTTCTTTAAAACCTTTCTCCCTTTCTGTAGTCTACTCAGAACTCTTCCTTCTTAGAACCTTCTTTGAAAAGAAATATTTTACATATTTTAGCACTTTATTATTTTCTAAGGATTCATGTTTAACAGATTCAATTCCTTAAATCAGTTTTTTAAGGGCTGAAAATAAGAGTTTTTTGTTATCTATTCCCAGTGACACCTTTTATAGTCCCTGAAATGATCATCAGTAAGTGATCAGAGGGTATTAAAATGAGATATTAGAAACAACTTAAGCGTTTAAGAAAATCATGTGTTTCCTTTGATATTCACAATGAATAAAAACATTTCTGATAGTTTTTCAAGATAATTTTTGAATGTCATTGAATACCAAACTGAAATATTTTTAAAGTTATATCAAGATCATTACCTTTAAGACACACTTAGGAAAGTCTTTTAGTCATGTACCGTTTTTATTTATTTGCCAACTCTTTAGGCCTTTTACTCACAGAGCTTCTGTTCATTTTTCTCTTTTGGTCAGGTAGCAGCTGTCTCTGACTAATTTAAAATGTTGCATTAAAATGAGCTGTACTATTTTCACCATTGCATATGTTCATCTTTTGCTTTTGGGAAATGACACGATGTGATTCAGCATGTTAATTTAAATATCACCCAAAATGTAATCATTTCCAGATCCATTTGCTGACATTTAATACTATTCACAGTTTAAAATGTCATAAAACTAAATACAGTGATATTTGTGTCAATGCTGATTTTTAAAGTAAAATATATATGTTTAACTTGTTGGCAACATTATTGTCTAAATAATACATACTGTACACAGTAGAATCAGGTGTAATATCTACAGCATGTAAGGGCCACTTAAAAAACCGTGAATGAACGTTTGGTTTAGGTCTGTGCTGCAAAGGCCAATTGTCATTATCTTAAGTAACACTGTGAATTTTGGTTTTAGGGCCTGTTAATAAAAGATTGGCTAAAACAACTCTGCCATGGATACATACATAGAATTGTCTGCGTGGGGTTTGCGAGTTTTTCACCTTTTGTTCTAGGGAGTAGTGAATGCTTACAAACTAAAGATAGGTTTTAGTTCCAGAAATTTCACCAAAGGAAGAAGAGTCAGTAAGTTTTAAGGTCTAAAGGAAGCTTTCCCTTCTAGTTCAGTTTTTCTGTGAGAAAAACTAAAAATTATCTTCCTTTATCCCAGTTTCTTTCCTGTATTCCTTTAGCAAGTCCTTTCCAAAATTCTTTCCCCAAAAGCTAGCTGGCTAGTTTGCTTGCTTTTTAAAATATATTTTATATGAAAAAATTTCAAACATACAGAGACTAGAAAGAATAGCGTAATAAATACCATGGAACCATCACCTAGATTTAACAGTTGTTACTATTTTTATTATATTGACATCATTTCTTCTTTTTCTGAACTATTTTAACATATATATAGAAATTATGATATTTTACCTCTAAATTCTTTTTTTTAAATGTTTTCCTATGTAACATAACATTATTACATCTAACAAAATTAGCATTAATCCTCTGTCATCAAATACTCAGTGCATAATCAGATTTCTGTACTTATCCTCAGAATGTCTTTTGTAGGTGCTTTATTTAAATCAGATGCAACCAAATAAATCTAGCAATATAATTTAATTACTACTAAGTAATTTAAATGTAAGAATTAAAATTCTAAATGACTAAAAAATTATTACTTTTTTTAAAGCATGGAGCCAAGTTAGTTTTGTATTTGTCAGAGTTGATACATAATCACCAAGGTGAATTGACTGAAGAAGAGCTAGGCACAGCAGAACTGCTTATGAATGCTTTGAAGTTATGTGGTCACAAGTGCATCCCTCCCAGTGCATCAACAAAAGCAGACCTTATTAAAATGATCAAAGAGGTGAGTCAATGAAACCATAGTACTTTCTTAGGAGATTCCATCATAGATAAAGAATGATTGACACTACTTTTTTAAGAACAGGCTATCATTGATGATGAACTTGAAATGATTATTTTATTTTATTTTTCCTATATACTATATTGCTTTTGTCTATGTGAGAAAAAATAGGCTTATTTTAAGGAGCATTTTGTTCTCTGTGGTCATCAGTATCCATTATCAGTAGCCTTCAGTGAAGGAAAGATTTTTAAAGTGACAAGCAAGCTGAAGCATACCTTGAGTTAGAGGTTCTTTAATGAAAAAGCAGAGTAAGGAGGCAAGCAACTATGTAAACTCATCAGGTTTAGCAACCCTGGTTAACCATTCTACTCTAACTTATGTGACCTAAATTATATAGACACAGAATTATAACATTATAACATTGTTTAGATGGTTCATTTATTTTAATATTCTGGTCTCCTAGGGACAATTGTTTTTCCTTTGTTAACTGGGTTTTAAAATTAGTTTGTTGGGCTCTGTGACAATGTTAGGTGAGAAATAATAAATTTTATATAGTATATTATTATCTAAATCTTCTAGGAACAAAAGAAATATGAAACTGAAGAAGGAGTGAATAAAGCTGCTTGGCAGAAAACAGTTAACAATAATCAACAAAGGTAAGATTTTATATGTTCCAAAGGCATGTATTTTAGGAATCCATTAGATTTCACATATACTTTTAGTTTTAAAGTATCATGTTCTGATAAATACGTTCCATGTATGCTTAACTATGGACAATCTTATTATTTGTTTAGTCTCTTTCAGCGTCTGGATTCAAAATCAAAGGATATATCTAAAATAGCTGCAGATATCACCCAGGCAGTGTCTCTCTCCCAAGGAAATGAGAGAAAAAAGGTGATCCAGCATATTAGAGGAATGTATAAAGTAGATTTGAGTGCCAGCAGACATTGGCAGGAACTTATTCAGCAGCTGACACATGATAGGTAAGCTGCGGGAGGTCAGTTAAAATTGTCTTCCATGAAGATTTAAGATATTGATGTTAAACGGAATTTGTATTCCGGAATTCAGACTCATAAAATCATTTCATTAAACAATTTTTTGTTTAATCATTTGTGATGTTTTTTTCATCTTAAAGAATAATCATATGAGTTTTTTTTAATTCTTGAGGAAGAAAAGTAATGAGGGGGGCAGTAGCTCATCTAGATAGTAAAATTAGCTTAATTTTAAAATATGGTCTGTAAAAGAATAGAGAAATCACTGAAACAGGATGGTTGAGAAAAATATATTTTTCTAACTAATTTAAAATATGTATTACAAATAACAAAAAGCGGGAAATCAAGGTATTATTCTCTAAATTTAGTTAAGATAACTTATTCATGTGACTTTGGTGTACTAAAATACACTAAACATTAGACACTAAAGTAAATTCCATATGGATAAAAGAATTACTCGAAAAGTTTATAAAGTAGAAGATAATAGGATATTTGTCAACTCTTTGAAGGATAGATGACTTTCTAAGCTCAAATGCAATAGAAGAAACTGCAAATAAATCAATGGATTTTAACCTTAATTTTTTCCAGTGTATTTAACAACCATAACAAGAACAAAAAAGCCTGGAAATATATTTTCAGCAAATAAAGTTATTTTTATTGTTTGAAAAACTTACACAGATTCTAAAGTAAAATATTATGATCCCAGAAGTTTGAATGAGCAAAAGGCATGAACACATTCCTCACATAAGACAAATGAATTACCAAACACACGGGAAAATATTCAATATTGCTAGAGGCTAATTTGGTTTTCTAGAACCTCTAGATACCACATTTTACTTTTTATGTTAACAAAAATTTTGGCTGCTAATATTCACCGCAGGATATTAGCTGTCCTTACTCAGAACTTTGGTGGCATTGTACATTTTGACAATATGTATTAATCATCCTAAAAACATTTTACTTCTAGCTTCAGTTATCCTATTTTAGTGATTCTATCCTAAGGAAAATATTCGAAATATGGAAGGCAGGCCAGGCACAGTGGCTCACACCTGTAGTCTAGTACTTTGGGAGGCTGAGGCGGGAGGATCACTTGAGCCCAGGAGTTCAAGGCTACAGTGAGCTATGAACATGCCACTGCACTCTGGCCTGGGCAACAGAATGAGACCCTGTCAAAAAAGAAAAAGAAAAAGAAAGTAAACATAAAAGTTTTCATCTCTGCATTATTTATGCTAGTGAATGAATTAGAAACAAGTTATAAACCGTAATATGGTTAAATACATTACAATGCATCTACCTCTTTATTGGGCAGCCATTCAAAATGATGAGATAAAGATAATACTGTTTCAGTAAAATAAGGCAAGTTATAGAAAAATGATCATAATGATCATAACTACAAATTAAAAACAGATGCACGTTTTAAAAAAAAAAGACAACAACCGCTACCAGTATTTTGGTATGTTTAGGGTATGAATAAGGGTATTTTTTTCTCTTATTTATTTCTAAAAATGTACTTAATATGTTTTTCCTGTCTTATTTCATCTAAGATAAAATTTATTTTAAAATCTTTTTAAAAATGTGATTCATACCACAGAAAGAAATTGATTTTATTTGTTTCATTAGAGAGTAGGCAAAATGAGGCCAGGTGAGGGCGCTCACGCCTGTAATCCCAACACTTTGGGAGGCCCAGGTGGGTGGATCACTTGAGGCTAGGAGTTTGAGACAAGCCTGGCCGACATGATGAAACCCCATCTCTACTAAAAAAATACAAAAATTAGCCAGGTGTGGTGGGAGCCTGTAATCCCAGCTACTTGGGAGGCTGAGGCAGGAGAATCGCTTGAGCCCGGGAGGCAGAAATTACAGTGAGCCAAGATCACGCCACTGCACTCCAGCCTGGGCGACACAGCCAGACTCTGTCTCAAAAAAAAAAAAAAAAAAAATGCAAAATGGGAAATGTAAAAAATTAATTTGGAAAAAAAATTTACCTAACCATATTAAATCCAGCATGTTGTATTATGTTGCTAAAGTGTTCATAGTAGTCATTACATATCTTTTAAAAAATTTAATAGTTGAAAGAAACTGGAAGCAGAGCTTGCCTTCAGGCGAGGAACTGGGAGACTGGGATTCAGGAGCAAAAAGACACTTAGATTTTATTACTTCTACTTGTATATGCATTCCCTGATCAAATATATAAACATTTGGAGTTTTTAAATTAACAGATCAGTTGTGACTTACTTACTCAATCTCTATAATGATTTTTTTTATAGCTACAAGTCCTGGATGGTCACTTAAAACACCCTTTAATCTTTTTACTTGCAGAGCAGTATGGTATGACCCCATCTACTATCCAACCTCATGGCAGTTGGATCCAACAGAAGGGCCAAATCGAGAGAGGAGACGTTTACAGAGATGTTATTTAACTATTCCAAATAAGTATCTCCTTAGGGATAGACAGAAATCAGAAGGTAATAGTGGCTTCTTGACTCAACATATAAATATAGCAGAGAACTATGGTCATTAGATAAAGATAATATTTACTTTTCTCCTCAACAGATGTTGTCAAACCACCACTCTCTTACCTGTTTGAAGACAAAACTCATTCTTCTTTCTCTTCTACTGTCAAAGACAAAGCTGCAAGTGAATCTATAAGGTAACTTTGAATCAATAGACCTTCACTCTTTCATGAATATACAACAGCTTATTGTAGTGTTTATGTAATATTTATTTTATATAATGCCATCATTTTCAGAAAAATCCTAAACAGGAAAGGCTCAAGGGAGGACAAGGTTATATGGCCAAAATCCAAAAGGAAATGACATTTCTGACAGCAAGAGTTCATGGGATTTCAGTCATCATGTTCTGGCCCTTGTTAGTTTACATATACACACACACACACACACACACACACACACACACACACACACACACATATAAATATGTATATATATACACATATATGGGTACATATATATATACCCATATATATGTATACACACACATATTTTGTAATTGACTGTTTAACATCTCTATCTATTAATATAGATAGAGCTGCTGGTGGTATCATCAAGCAGCAATATAACGTAGTGATTAAAGGTTTAGATTCCAGTTCCTGCTCTTACTAGCTCTTTAATCTTAGGCAAGTTACCTAACCTCTCTGTCTCAGTTACCTCATCTATTAAATGAAGAAATAATAATAGGTATCATAGCGTTGTTGAGTATTAAGTATGTTATTATATATTAACTATTGATAGTATTATCATTGCAGTTATTGTGGTTGTTATTATACCCATTTCATAGATGAAAAACTGAGACACAAAGAAGATAATTGGCTAAGAACACAAAGGAACTTTCTGATTCCAAATCCTCTGTTTTTCCTAGAATACTAGGCTTTTTTAAAAATGTATTTGATAAATTACCTTCATAATAATGTAAATAATACAATAATAGTATATAACAAATAAATAATACAAAATAATAATACAAAAATAAATAGAGCACACACAAAAAATGTATCTGAAGTATCAGAGGCATGAAACAATGTTTGCTTATTTATTAGAAAATATAAAATATTGATATCTCTTTTAAATAACTTAATTTCTATATTCTGTCTACAGGTTATAGGGATTATTAGCCTTTTCTAGGCGTTTCAGTCATTTCTCTTCTAATAGAATGCTAAAAAGGAGCTAATATTTTCATGTGGGTTTCGACAAGATACCTCATGCTATTGGAACTCTATCTAGTCTGCTTTGCAGAAATCTTTTACTAGGTAAAATAAAGCATATCCTCTCTGAAATTGGTCAGAACATTTAGTCATAGTAATTTTAAATATGTTTTGACAGAGTGAATCGAAGATGCATCAGTGTTGCACCATCTAGAGAGACAGCTGGTGAATTGTTACTAGGTAAGTCAAATTTTGAAGA